>NC_000004.12:89224411-89527441 GCF_000001405.40 Homo sapiens
GAGTTATCGTAAGTGGGGTATAAGAACAACAAAAAGATGTTCTTAGGATTTATGAAAATCAACTCTTGCACTCATTTGATACTAGAGTGTAGAGGTATTTGCCTCTAGGTAGGTCTATCCTGCAGATTTTTTTTTCACTTTGTGAGACTAATTTTTGTAGCTTTCATGTCTCTTCCTTACGCCAAATATGTTAATTACATCTCTTGTTATTTTCAGTGCTTTCAACATGCTGTTTCCTATCTGACACAGATGTAGAAAACAGGTAATCTAGAATTGTGACAAGGATTAGACTGAATAGGCTCTGATTATGAGTCTGAGGGATTCCCTCTGGGATAAGTTAATGAGCTTTAGCACATGGACTTTGTGACATTTATTTTGGTTGCAGAGGCCTCTTTTTGTTTCCTTCCTTATTCTCAACTTTTACTGAGCAGAAATGTAGGGGTATGGACTTGAAAACAAACAGATTTGGTTTTGAGTCCTTGCTCTGTCATCTTATTGATTTTTTTTTAAAGAATAAATCACTGTTAAAAAAATTCTCTAAATGAGGATAGGAATGTATTGATCACAGTATGACATAATATAAGATGATATCTTTAAAGCACTCAATAAGTTATAAATATTATTATCTTTTTAATATATAAAGAGGCTTATCAACATCAAACTCTTAAATTGCTGTTTGGTGACATCTGAGAGTAGGAAAAATAAAAAGAGTTTAGACAATAAAACACAAAAATTAGTCTCGCGAGCTGAAAAAAAAAATCCCTGCAGTATAGAGCTACCTAGAGACAGACTGTACTTCATAGATAAGATATATAATGCTTATTAGACAGAGCAAGGGAGGAAAAATTGAGAATAAGTATTGGATTGGTTGGAAGTGGTAGTGGTAGGAATGGTGATAGGGAGAAAGTACTCCAGGAAAGTTAGATAAGAAAAACTTTCACATTCCTGGCGAGCAAATTGATGTCAGAAGTTTTATCATCAAGAAAAAAAAGTCCTGTAGAGGGGCTTAAACACAACATAGCTCAGGGTTCTCAAATTTGATCACCACCAAGACTTTCTTTTATTACCTTTCCCTCCATCTACTCCGTTGAATAAACTGGTTTACCAAGAGAGCTGATCTATCAGTGAATTAATAGGTAATGTGCATGGGAGAACAGAATTTGGAGGGGGAAAGATTTTTTCTCCTTTTGCTCTCCAGATAATAAAGGCAGGATGAGTTTGGGGCAGCAGAGACTATAAGATAGAGAGGTTAAGAGGAGGTTTAGCTCTCAGTTTCACCAAGGTTTATGGGCTTTCTCTGATCCTTACCTAGAGACACCATTATTTTTCCTTATGTGCTGAATTGAGTTTAGCTTAAGTGCAGTAAAACTATAGGGTTCACTAGCTCAAGGGTCTTTAGGCATTGGAAAGTCAGGGAGACAACTTCATGGGATTGGCAGGCAATCCCCAGAAAGTACCTGGAGCTGTGGTAATGGTATTTATGATGGATTTGCAAACAGCAGAAACCATCTAAAAGCGAGGAGGGGAAGAATACAATTTTACTGTTTTGTGGGCATTTGTGTAACTCCCCAGGGATTGTCAGAGGTGGCTATGTGAAATATAATTAAGGAGGTAGCTGATAATTGTACAGATAAGCGTGATAAATCAGATAAATTTTGGCTTAAATCATGATGTATGGTCATTCAAATCCACAGACGGGTAAGAGCTCAAGGTTTTTGAATTATGTAAATAATTTATTTTTTCAAATATGTTAATCTAGGACAAAAGTAATTACAATTATGCAATTATAATTAAGTTCTTTAGAAATATGTTATTTTAGTTAGCATACACATTACGATTCACGCATGGGTCTCTTGTAGGGCATAGACCTTTCTATTCCATTCTAGAATAGCTGTGTGTTAAAGAAGATAACTCAGAGGCATGAGTGGATTGTACAGCAGTCAGCTATGCTTGTAGCCTATTTTGCCCATCTCATCTCTAAAGATAAAATACTTCAGTTTTTTTGGGTGGAATTGGTGAAGAGACAGATGTCTCAGGCTTGTGGCAGAATGTCACCTTGGCAATTAATGGGGAAAGCAAAGACCCACGGCTTACTTACTACTAATTAAGAAGTCACAGTACAGACCTAAGGAGAAGAAAGATCTAGCATGGTGGCAGGCTGGAGCAGACAGGGTGGAGGTTGTAGCAACTAGCTGATGGGGCATTTATGGGCTTAGTTGTGTGAACAAATGTGAACTTGAAAGAGTCAGTCCTTCAGAATGGATCCCAAGTGGCTATTTAAAATAGACCAAGGAGCTATGTGCTGACTAAAGTTCACACACATACTCTGAGATGCACAAAAAGCCACACTTTTTTAACTTTGGGACTTTCAGAGCTCACCTGAACCAACCAGTCACAGCTTGGCTCTATCAATCAATCAGAACTCAGCTGTGTCAGCCAATCAGCAATAAGGAAGTTTGAATCCTTTGTTTACATAAAAGGACCTGCTCGGGAAGCTGGGCTGAAGCTTTTGCTATAAAACCCACACTCTTTCTTTGTTCTCTGGAACCACCTTTGTTTTACACCTAAGGCTGTGTCTCACCAGTTAGCAAACTGTTCACTGGAATAAAGTCTCTTTCCTTCAAATTCCTTTTCAGAGAACTTTTGTTCACAGTTGGCAGGAGGGAGAGTGGAGGGGAACTACCTCTAGGGCCTACCAAGAGTTTCAGAGACAGGTCATCCAGACCTTTCCAGCAGAGGGCAGTCACAGCTTGGTTTTTCTCATGCAACCCGTGGCTTCATTCCTTGGGTTTCACTGCCCTGGCAAGGCTAACTCCAGGTTCCAACGCTTAGGGTAGGGCAGTTCACTCTCTTTTTCTTTAATCCATGGATACGGAAAAGGCTTTTACTGAGGTCTCAAATTCCAGAGAAGACCTTGGCGATATTGTAACTACATTTTTTTTTCATACAGGGTACAGAAATGAAGATGTATCTACGTAGATTTTCTTTTTGCTTCCCTGCTCTCAAGTTTGATCAACGATCATGTTGGAACGTGTCTGTTCAGAATTTAATATGATTTAGACAAAGGCTTGAAGTTATGGTTGCTTAATTGAAAGTTTCTTGCAAAAGAGAAAAAATACAGACGTTTGAAGGTGGAAAACTAAGAGATTTAAGAAATATATGAGGAAACTCCTTTTCCCCTCCACCAGCTTGAGGAACTTCAAACACCTAGAAGGCATTTATTATTCAAATAATTATTTTGTTAGTGATTACTGATAATTTATTAAAGTCCATAGTCCAGAAATCTGTTAATTAACTTTATATTTAAAAATTAAAATGGAATGTTATGCCATTCTTACCAACAGCCAGGTTTTAGATAACGATGTGGTATAAATGATTTCAATTAATTACTGTTTCCTTCTCTTATTTAAATTTAGGATTCAATATTTATTTTTGCCAAATTATTAAAAAAATTTTTCCGTTTCATTAGGGAAGTTAGTTTAAGAGACTTAACCTCGCAATAAACTTCCAATTAGACAGTTTATTACAAAGTCTTACGTAGTGCATTCTTAATTTAAATATTATTCATTTCTAGCTGAACTTTCACGAATGATGTAAAGTTATTAATTACTGATACTACAGCTGAGTAAAGTAAGTCTTTGGTTCCAACTGAACCAGGAGAGAAAGGTCATTATATGTCTAAGAACTGGGCCCGCCTTACCTTTGGAGGAAGGGTACGACAGAGCACAGATTTTATGTTCTAAAGATGGCGGCACCAATATGGTTATCAAACTCACATGATTTCCTTACAAGGCGATTGACACACTTCTCAGTGGGGTTTGTTTTCTCCCCTTGAATCTAGGCAGGGCTTGTAACTGCCTTGACTAATGGAGTATCTCAGAAAGGATGCTATACAATTTCTAGTGCTAGTTCATAAATGGGATGTAGTTTCTGCCTGTCTCTACTGGAGGGACGTATAGGAATGGTGTGCCAGGTGCAGGCGACATCAAGGAGTGGTGTTGATGGCTACAAACGCTAACACTTTAAAGGTGTCAGCTTATATTATAGGCAGCGTGTGGGCTTAGAAGATTTTAATATTACTCCTATTCATGTTAGGGGGATAGAAACCCTCTGAAATCTATAGGTTGAATAGTCAAATTGTGAAAAGAGGATTTCTCTCTGGCTCTTTTAAATTAAACTGGGATAATTTTGGTTTTGAAGACTCTTCAATATCCCAAGAGTATAGTAGAGACTAAAAAAGAAAACCCAGGCCACCATAACCTTGCCTGTTTCCATGACTAAGACATGCACTAAACACAGATAAGCATTATGAACAGAACTGTACAACTTTTGACCATGTAGGACAAGGTTGGAAAAATAAATGTGTTGTCTCTCAAGAACTTGAAAGGATGCATTAGATAGATTTAGACCAATGGCATAATTTCTTATTCATTCCTGTTGCTTCTTTAATGTTCATCAATAACCAGGCAAGACGTGGACAGTGAGGAGCCCTGTTGTCTGAACAGGGCTGCTAATGAATTGGTATCTGCTGTCACAAGAGTGCAATCACTAAATTGCATCTGCCTCAAATACTGACATACCAAATTCCTGATGGCTATGTGAGAACACTCCTTCTACACTGTAGTTCCTAGTATGGGGGTGTGAGGATACTGAGCACTTCAAGGCAAACCAAGTTAGAGGGCACCCAAGGTGAGCACGTGAGAAGTAGATTCCTGTTTTAGACCAATTTTGTGTTGATTCACATGACTTTTTCACTGAAGAATATAATGTGATTTATTGTTTTTGTATTAGGAAACATTGAACACTGGTAGGCCATTTTTTTTTCTGAACTGATATTTGGCATTCTTTGTTATATATATGTTCCATAGATCACAAACACAACAGGTAAAAACAAAAGGAAACAGTGGGCCTTATATGTTTTGTAGGAACAAAAAAGCACTCTTAAAAATTATTTTGAATCAGATGTATCTTCCTCAACTACTGGTTCCAGACATGATTTAGGGGTTCTGAATAATGAAGGTTCATCTCTCCATGTCATATATCATACTGTATCATCTCCTCATATTGTATATATATATATAATATAATACATAAAAGTTTTTCTTTTCAGTGTTCATTCACACAGTGATTTTTCATGTTACAGTCCGCTTAAAAGTATCACATCTAATCAATTATGTGACCTAAAAAAATTACATTAGTAAAAATTTACCTATGTGGTGGGTATTATGTGTCCAGTGACAAATAACTTATGACATTATAATACAAGAAACTATAAATATACAGGAGTGCAAATATACACACAGACAGTGTGTACGGTGTTCTTTTATTTCCATTCTTTATCTTCATGATTGAACTTTATAGGCAGGGCCAGTGCTCAACTTCTGGGCTCCTAAAGTAACTGATAATGGCTCTAACATGGCCCTTCTCATATTGCTGTGTTTAGTGGTTTATGTATCTGGGAGCCTCTGCAGGGTAAGGCTGAGGGTCACTCAAATTTCTAATACATGTTGGGTGCAGGTGCGTAATATATGTCTGTTGAGTAAAAGAGTGGTTCTTCTGATTTCATTTTGTTTGAATCCATTTTGGGTTCTAGGATTCAGATTCAGGTTGACATTTGACCTAATGTAGAAAAATTCTCCCAAATATAGGCAGAGCTGGTTATTATGCCCTGGAAAGTTTTCAGAAGGAGATATGATCTGTTCTTGTTTTTCCTAAATTGACCAGTTATCTAGCAAATCATCTGTGTCAGTGCTTATTTCTTTAGTGTTTCTGATACTTTTCCCAAAGAGTACTAATGCGTTGTGTTTGTGACTTCCTTTCCTTCCTTTATAAAAACATTTATTTTTAAAAATTTCTCCCTAGCTTTATTGAGATATAATTAACAAATAAAAATTGTATGGCTTAAGGGTGCACAACATGTTTTGATATACATATACATTGTGAAGTGATGACCGCAATCAAGCCTTCCTTCTTCACCTGTGTCAGATGTGTTGCTGGCTCCTGTTTTGTTGCAATGTGCCTCCTTTGAAAATAGATAAAAAATTGTCACAAAATGAAATGATTGCATCATCTTTAAATTCATAATTACTTTAAAGCCCTACCTTGGGCCAATGTTACTAAGATTAGTATCTTTAAATGAGCGGTTCACCTTCGAGGGAAAAAGGAAATTGTATTAGGTCTCAGTTCTTTCATCAAGGAGCCTGGTGGTAAAATTAAACATTTATTTATACTTTCCAATAATTTTATGAATTATTTTCAAATATGCTCAAGGCTTGTTCATATATTTTATGAATTGCATGTATAACGTTTATAAAAATTTAACTTAATTATTAAAACACTAGTGAGGGTAGAAAGCAATGTCATTTGCTGCAATCTCATTTGCTACACGAGACAATACATAGCCTTTAATTTGTACAACTGTACTTCAGATTGAACATAAAATGCCTTCATACACCCATATGTTGTTTTCTTTTCCCAAGAAAAGGGCAAATAATTTTATAGCTTTTCTCTTTATATCGTTACATCATTTCTTAGTGTTTTCCTATGTTTTATGCAGTCATGACAAAATTTTTGTTAATGTGAATATGAGGTTTGCATAGAGAATGAGTGGATATTTTGATGGCTTAGTCTGTTTTTTTTCCTTTTCTGCCACTTTATATATTATTTAGAGGAAATATATTTGAGTGATCCTTATTTACTCTCTAAAAGTAATTGTTCCCCTTTTTATATTCTGACTTTGATTTAGGGAAAGTTGTTACTATATTAGTGACATCAAATAATTCTCTGAGTTACCGAAACATTGAGTTACTAAAACATTGTAACGGTCAATAGGAGAATGTATCAGGTAGGTCACAAGGAGAAAACCATTAGGTTTTATTCAAGTAGTATTTAACATCCTGATAATCACTTTTGTTTTTATCAGCATGTTAGTGTGCAACAATGCAGTGCCTAGTTAGGTGCCTGGATGATGACACCAGGCTTGAGTGGTTTGAGTCTTGGTGCCACCATTTACTCACTATATGCTCCAATCTGCATTTTGGCTCGACATCCATAAAACAGGCACGACAATAATAATAATGTTTACATTGTAGGTTATTGTGAAGCATAATAAGATAATTGATATGATTTGACTATGTGTCCCCACCCAAATCTCATCTCAAATTGTAATCCCCATATGTCAAGGGAGCGACCTATAATCCCCCTGTTGAGGGAGGGAGGTGATTGGATCATGGGGGCAGTTTCCCCATGCTGTTCTTGTGATAGTGAGTTCTCACGAGATCTGATGGTCTTATAAGCATCTGGCATTTCCCCTGCTTGCACTTCTCTTCCCTGCTGCCATGTGAAGAAGGTTCTTGCTTCCCCTTCACTTAAGCCATAATTGTAAGTTTCCTGAGGCCTCCCCAGCCATGTGGAACTGTGAGTCCTTTCCTTTATAAACTACCCAGTGCCGGGTAGTAGAGGGTAGAAGAGTTTGGAGGGGTCAGAAGAAGATAGAACAATGTGAGAAAGTCTGGAACTTGTTAGAGACTTGTTAAATGGCTTTGACCAAAATGCTGATAGTGATGTGGACAACAAAATCCAGGCCGAGGTGGTCTCAAATGGAGATGAGGAACTTACTAGGACTGGAGTAAAGGTCACTTTTGCATGCTTTAGCAAAGAGACTGGTGGCATTTTGCACTTGCCCTAGAGATCTGTGTAACTTTGAATTTGAGAGAGATGGTTTAGGGTATCTGGTGGAAGAAATTTTTAAGCAACAAAGCACTCAAGAGGTGACAGAGCATAAAAGTTTGGAAAATTTGCAGGCTGACAATCTGATAGAAAAGAAAAACCCATTTCTCGGGAGAAATTCAAGCTGGCTGCAGAAATTGCATAAGTAACGAGGAGCCAAATGTTAATCACCAAGGCAATGGGGAAAATGTCTCCAGGGCATAGGGCATGTCAGTGACCTTCACGGCAGCCCCTCCCAGCATTCTATGTATAAGAAACATAGAATAATGTCTAGTATGTAGTAAACACTTAATATACCTCAGCCATTATTATTAATTATTGAAACAGTCTGGAGAAAATATCAAAGCATAATCACCTATGATATGGTTTGACGGTGTCCCCACCCAAATCTTGAATTGTAGCTCCCATAATTCCCATGTGTCATGGGAGGGACCCGGTAAGAGGTAATTGAATCATGAGGGTGGGTCTTTCTGGTGCTTTTCTCATGATAGTGAATAAGTCTCATGATTTATGATGGTTTTATAAAGGAAAGTTCCTCCGCACATGCTCTCTCCCTTGCCTGCTGCCTTGTAAGACATGACTTTGCTCCTCATTTGCCTTCTGCCATGATTGTGAGGCCTCCCTAGCCATGTGGAACTGTGAGTCCATTAATCCTCTTTCCTTTATAAATTACCCAGTTTCAGGTGTGTCTTTCTTTATTAGCAGTGTGAAAACAGACTGATACAATTTATATATAAATTTAGTTGTGACCAGAGACAAATAATACTAACTGTCTTATTTTGTGAATGGGGAAATTGAGGCATATAATTTCATGAAATATTTATTCATGAAGACATCTGTGACAAGTTAGTACCTATTTTACATCAGTAGCTTCTCTTTTACTGAAAATGACACTTTATCATATAGTAAAGAAAATCATCTATACATATGATCTACACTATTTACACAAAGAAATGCTTTTCAAATTTTATGCAGTACTATCCCTAAAGGTGGGTGAGAATAGTAAACTTATAAAACTGCAGGGTAAAGGGGAATTGATGAAGCCAGCCAAAGAAAAATCGGTCTAAAATCTCCTGTTTTATCATTTGAAGACTGTGAATTTGTCCTTTGATGCCTCTATCAGTCAGCTTCTGGCAGGAGACAGCTGTCATTTTCAAACTGGGTAACTGAGGAGAGTGTTATAAACAGATTATTTATAAAGGTATAGGTAGGTTTTAGGGCAATCACAAAGTAATAGCACAGTACTGTCTAGCGACAAACTGGGGTCAGGCACATCCCTCTTAGGCCTGACAAGTCAAAGGGAAGGAGGAGTTGACAGGACCCAGCCTAATGGAGAGATCTGCCTGGTAGGGGTTCTGAATTTGTTGAGCTTGACATGGCCAACATGAGGCATCCTATTAGGGGTGGGAGTATTCAGGAAACAAATGCTCCAACCTTACTCTCTTCCCTGCCACCGCCTCTAGCCAGCACTTCTGAATGGCTGAATGCAATGGATAGCAGGATGGCAAGGGAGCCTGTTGAATCTGCCAATGCAAGTCAGCCTCCAAGTGCATAGGACAAGATGAATAAGGGTGAAGAATGAATAGAGAAGAGAAAATGAAAGATATCTAGTACAATAAATTTATGTTTGCTACAATATTAAAATGACTTCAGCATTTACTCATTAAAACTACCATCACATTTTTCAGTAAAATCGATGCTTCAGGATAGAAGGGTTTGTGTGTCCTGGTTTGGGTAGCATGGACATAAGCAAGTCCTTTACTACAAAATTGATCTTTGGCAATTTTGAATCCCTAATTGAGCTGAATGGCGTTGTATTAGTTTTGTGGCCACACAATGAACTACTGCAAACTTAACAACTTAATATAATATAAATTCATTATCTCTCAATTTCTGTAGTCCAGGCAGGCTAGCTTGATTCTCTGGTTAGGGTTTTCTCTGGCTGAAATCAAGGAGACCATCAGGGCTGCAGTCTTCATCTGAGCTTGGATGTCCTTTTCCAAGATGGTTGTTGGCAGAATTGATTTTCTTGCAATTGTATAACTGCGTTCCTGTTTCCCTTCTAGCTATCAGCCGGGATCACTCTCAGCTCCTAAAGGTTGTCTGCAATTCCTGCAAATGTGGCCTCCATAGGCAGTTCACAAGGACGTTTGCTTTCTCCTAGGCCAGCTGGAGCATCTCTCTGACTTCCTCTTCTGGAATCAGCAGGAGAATACTCTGTCTTTTAAAGGGCTCATGTGATTATGTCAGGCCCACCCAGATAATCTCCCTAATTACAACCTGTATTACATCCAGCAGTGATTGAATAATGGGGAAAAGGTGTGTGCATACCAAGGCTGGGAATCTTGGGGAGCATCTTCAGGTTTTGCCTACCACAGTGGGCCTTTAAAAAATTGCAGCACTCTTTCTTTCCACTCCCTGTGGAGGGTCTGATATTGTTGTTGACCTCTAAAACCTACAGTAATTTTGGGGCCTCTAGACGATCAGGAGCCACAAATGTAGATGCCTTTAGGGGCTAAGTAGATCTCATAATCACGGTAAGGTCATCATTAGTGACAACATCTATTTCAGTTTTGGGTACACTTCTTGATTCAGCCACAGGTCATTCAAAATTGCAAATATAGTCTCAATTCAAATTTAAAATGCCAAGTCTCATGTAATAATCATGTAAGTAATACTGTAATTCTTGTTTATAACTCAGGGTTCCCTCCTTACAAGCCCTATAGAGCTACATTGGGAAGAGGGTTGTGATTTTGATTCTTTTCTCTTTCCATCCCTAGAGATTCCATTTCTGCCAAATAATCTGGTTGAAGACCAGGGAGGAAGAGGAAGAAAGAGGGTCTGGAAAGGTCACACTTTCCTGAGTGCTGCACTCTGCCTGTGGCAGGTGTTTACATTGAACTCCTCTCATGGGCTTCCAGGTTCTCTTTGGAGAATCTTCCCTCTACAGCCTCACTCAGACACTGATGGTTAAGCTTTGTGTCCCCACCCAAATCTCATCTTGAATTGTAATCTCCATAACCCCATGTCAAGGGAGAGAGCAGGTGGAGGTAATCGAATCATGGGGTTGGTTTCCCCATGCTGTTCTTGTGATAATGAGTGAGTTGTCACAAGATCTAATGGTTTTATGAGGGGCTCTTCCCCCTTCGCTCAGCAATTCTCCTTCCTGCTGCCTTGTGAAGAAGGTGCCTTGCTTCCCCTTTGGCTTCTGCCATGATTGTAAGTTTCCTGAGCCCTCCCCAGCCATGCTGAACTGTTAATCAATTAAGCCTTTTTCTTTACAAGTTACTCAGTCTCGGGTAGTTCTTTATAGCAGTATGAAAACAGACTTAATACACGCACTCCCCCATCACCAGGTATCTCCAACTGGAAGATCTCTTAATACAGGCGAAGGACCCTCTTCTAACTCTTGTACATAAAGCTCTTAATTCAACTCCCATGAATCTGGAAGGTTTCCCCCAGCAACATTAAACTGTGGGGATTAGAGATTTGTTAGTGAAGTTTAGCATATTTTCATATGTTTATGATGCTTGCTTATATAGTTTGAGTAATCTATTTTATTGCTCATCTTTTAAAACTAATTTGTAGGTGTTCTATTTGCTAGATTCCAGTACATGACTTCTCTTTCAATTAGTCTATGAAGACTTTTTATCAAAGTTTTAAGTGTTAATGTAGGTAAATTTACCAATTTTGTTTCCCCTTTCCTCCCTTTTTGAATTAGTAATATTTTATTAGTACTTAACTTTATATTTTAGAAATCGCATTTAATGTGACCCAGTTAAACTTAATTAAAATCTTTTCTTAATTCTTAAAGGTCTGACAATTTTACATGTTGGAATGTGTTTCCCTCATGCTTTAAACAAAAAATAAAAATACTTTTAAAGTCACATTTTATGTATCTCACAGTCATACATTAAAACCATTCTTAGGCCAGGCGTGGTGGCTCATGCCTGTAATCTCAGCACTTTGGGAGGCTGAGGTGGGTGGATCATGAGGTCACGAGATCAAGACCATCCTGCCTAACACAGTGAAACACCATCTCTACCAAAAATACAAAAAATTAGCCGGACGTGGTGGTGGGTGCCTGTAGTCCCAGCTACTCAGGAGGCTGAGGCAGGAGAATGGCGTGAATCCGGGAGAAGGAGCTTGCAGTGAGCTGAGATCGCACCACTGCACACTCCAGCGTGGGCGACAGAGCGAGACACTGAGGGAAAACAAAACAAAACAAAACAAAACAAAATTCTTATTATTTATCCAGATTTATCAAAAGTTTATTAAATAGAATACAATGGCAAAATTCAAGGCTTTTAACAATTGAGTGGTAAAGTTCAAGTGGAAGAAAGCAAAACTCAGAGGAGTAAGAGAAGAAAAGAACAATATTTTGCCTATGCCATTTAATTCCCACAAATTTGCAAAGTGAGCATTGTTATTCTCAGTTTCCAGATGAATGCACTGAAATAATTTGGATATTTATCCTCTCCAAATTTCATGTTGAAATTTGGAGGTGGGGTCTGGTGGGAGGTGTTTTGGTTTACTCAGCCAAAGAATTTAGCTTCTTTGATTCGAAGCTGAGATTTGAACCCAGGGTCCTTTGATTCCAAGCCCAGATATTTACCACAATATCTCTGTGATCATCCAATTTATATGTCTCAAGTATCTGTGCCATTGACAAATTGTAAAACTGTGCATGTATACATTATACCTCCTAAGGTTGAGACATAGATGGAAGTGCCCAGCAAAACGTCTGGCACAAAGGCATTATTTTTTGTTTTGGCTTTGGGCTAAAAAAACATAGATAACAAGCAAATGCTTTGGAGCCCTTTAAGAAGTCTTATCTTGCTTTTAAACACCTATAATAATCTTTGGCAATGACATTCTGCTTATTATTATTTTTAATGGCAGGTCAAGGCTCTTTTGCAGTTTGATTGAGAGACGTCAAGCGGGACTAAAAAAGGTGTAGGGAAATACCATTCTTGAGATGCCAGTACTCCCACCAGAAATCTCTGCAAGCACTTTCAGCTTCCATCCAGACAATTTGAATTTCAACTATGTTAGACCTCTGTGATATATTTAGAAAAACCAGCTTCAGAACATTGCTAAGGTAGTTACAAGGGTCTAAACATTTTAGAACTCTGTCAATTAGCTCAGTGGTTGTGTAGAATGGTGTTGAAGAAAATTTAATAATGGTGGCATTCAGAAGTTCATTAAGAATGTGTATGCCATGGTCTAAATGTCTGTATCCCTCCAAAACTCATGTTGAAGTCTGAACTCCTAAGGCGATGGTGTTAGAAAGTGGGGGCTTTGGGTGGTGATTAGATGGTGGTCACAGAGCCCTCATGAGTGAGATTAGTGCCCTTTTGAAAGTGGCCCGGGAGGGGACACTTCATCCCTTTTACTGTGTGAGGACACAGCAAACAGGCACCACACGTGAGCCGGCAAGTAGGCCCTCACCAGACACCAAATTGGCCTTGATTTTGGGGTTCCCAGCTTCCAAAACTGTAAGAAATAAATTTATTTACAAGCCTCCCAGTTTATGATACTTTATTATAGCAGCCCAGATAAATTCAGACAGGGTGGTTGACCAAAAGTGATCTTATATTGTTTACAAAAGGCAAACCCTTCACAAGAAACAAGAGGTATTTTGAGTTCACAATCAGTCCAGTGAAGCAATATTATGCTAAGAAGGATGTTCTTCTGTTTGCTACTCAACATTGAAGATGTGAAGAATGAGAACATTTGGCTGGAAACGGCACCTAATGAAACAAACACCCACTGGTGGGACATAAACAGCTATAGGCATAAGACAAACCATCTCGGCCCTCCTGAGACTTGCAAGATCTAACTTCTCCAGGCAAGGCATTTATATCTTTGGAAATGCATGAGGTTTTAATTTGACCAAGAATAAATGTTTAAGTATGCAAGAGTTAGAGAATGGCAGCCACAGGGCACCATTTTAGGTTAAAATAGTGTGCATTTATACACACACACACACACAGCAGCTGGAGGGAGAGTATGGCTCTTGGAAATTTTGAAGCAATCACTGTTTAAAGTTCATGGGAAATTCACTAAATCATTGTTTTGAGATTTGGGTTTCATATATCTTGTACCTCTCCTTCTTTACAGATCCTTGATGAATTGAAGATATTCAAGGAGGTAAAAAGGGATCAAACTGTAGTGCTAGTTTTACTACTGGTCAAGTCAAACTGGGGATATGGCTGGGCTTTCCATCTCCTTCTAGGAATCCAGACTGCAGGATCCCAGTTTATCTTCTCAGGAGTAGGCAGAAAGGCTGGAGCTATATAGGGTACACCTGATGGCTCTGGGTAAGAGGCATCTAAGCCTGGACAATAAGGCAATCTAAGCGCCCTGGACCCCTACCCAGCTCTGTTACCCCACCCCCGCCTGTATTTTCACAATGCTCAGCTCTCATCATTCTCACCAAACAACACACACACAACGCACAAACACACACACACTCTGCTCTACCAAGTACAGGAAAAACCTCGCGTTTGATGACCAGGAGGAATTGTTGATTCTATGGGAATTCTATTTTAATTAAAGAAAAAAGTTCTTTCATTGCAAATACTTCCAGTTCCACTGCAGATTCCTAGCAGAAGCTGTCACATGGAAAATCAACTGATTCTGCACATTCATGGTTAAAAGAACGATTTCAATAGCAGTGGAAACAATAATAACATCAACAAAAAACAGAATAAATTGTATCTATATTACATTTATTATGAAAAGTGAGATGCAAAAAAATCATAATCTAAATTTTTTGATGGTAAAACTAAGTCATTAGTTGAATATCAGAATTTTAAGCATCCATTCAAAAATCAAATCCAAAATGAAGGTGTAAGTATACGTAATTCCAAAATCTTACTTCATCTTTGTATAAATTATAACATTTCTTCTTTTTTCTAGGAAATGAAGTTTTATTGGTCAATATCTGGAGGATGAGAACTTTCTGAAATGATTTTATGGCCTTTGTAAACATTATAATGTAGACATTATAAAAAAACATAACTTTGGATTTTAATATTAATACATTCATAAATGGACTTTCCATTTTGAATATTTTTTCTTGTAATATTATACCACACTTTTGATCTTTCTTAGTTGAGTATTTACACACATAAATGATTCTCATATTGAAAACTGCAATTTTTAAGTTATAATTTTTCTGGGTATTATTCAAATTAATACACATCTTTCAAAAATAATCACATAAATTTATCTTTGAAGCAACCATAAGTATTGACAAACATCAAGATTTCAGGTATGCTGCACTTATAAACATGTATACTTTTATTAGTTAAAAAACACTGCCACTCTAGTTGTAATTGTAGTGTTCTTATAGCTGGTTAATCTTTTATTTTTATTTAATATACAACGATGGCACATTCGTTCTCTAAAACATGAATATGTTTTTAAATGTTATTCTTAACTTTCTACTGAGAAGTGGTTGTTTGTACTTTGCCAAATGGAATTCTCTATCAAGGGGTGATTCTGGTATTTCCATTTATATTTTCTTTTTTTTGAGACAGAGCCTTGCCCTGTCTCCCAGGCTGGAGTGCAATGGCGCGAACTTGGCTCACTGCAACCTCTGCTTCCCAGGTTCAAGTGATTCTCCCACCTCAGCCTCCCGAGTAGCTGGGATTACAGGCACACACCACCATGCCCGGCTAGTTTTTGTATTTTTAGTAGAGACGGGGTTTTGCCATGTTGGCCAGGCTGGTCTTGAACTCCTGACCTCAGGTGATCTGCCTGCCTTGGCCTCCCAAAGTGCTGGGATTGCAGGTGTGAGCCACCACGCCCAGCCTCCATGCATATTTTCAATCTGATACCCAACCAACGTAATTTTTAGTGTCGAGGATTCAAGGTCAAATTGTGTTAGGTTTTAAGAACCAGGTGAGACTTTTTGATCCCTAATAGAGCACTTCCTTTGAGAAAAAATGAGATAAATTCGAACAATATCAATTAACTGGTTGGAATTATGATAAGCTGACAAATCTTGTTCAGAGTTGACACTTGCCAGCTAATGATTCTAATGTTGTTAGAATCCACACAGTATTACCTGTTATTGATAATACTAATTTTTTGTTTGAGTCCATCTTAAGGAACTCAAGACACGAGGCAATTTAAGTGCCCTGGAACCCCACCCAAGGGTTCATTGCTCATATCCTATTATCTCACCAACATCATCTGCAATTTTTTTTCATTTAAATCTTTGACTTCTCTTCGGTGTTGGTAGGCATAGTTTTGCTGAGCTCAAGAGAAGAATGCCTGTGATCATATCCACTTTGAGTGATTATACATGCTTGAAATCTAGGGATCCATTTCCAAAAAATGTAGGGCTTTTATTGGTTTGTGCAAATCAACACACTGATACATGTCCAAAAGGAGTCTCCAAAACATAATCGATTTTCATCCCTGTTTGCCATTTCCAGATATGAAATTAGGTGCTTAAAGAGAAGCATTAATTCCCTGTAGCTACTCAGTTACCAGTCTGTGCTTCAGTTGCTGGAGTTTTCTAAGCACAAAATCTGCTACCAGGGAGTAACACCATTAATTGGGGGGGCATCTCATTCAATAATAATATTTGTAAAACAGAGCAGTCATGGAAATATGCAACTTTCAATTAGTGGTTTTAATTTGTGATTTATCTGAATATACTAGTATAAATAAAATGTATTATGTGTGCCTATATATGTGGATAAGCTATTTACATTTTTATGTGTAGAAAATGAAAAATATATATTGATTAGCCCTTTTGAGGCTTTTGAACAACTGTTTCATCTTCCTTCTTTCCTGCAACTGCTTTGAGGATTTAGATAATTCATACAAGGTATGTACACAATCACACCCATAGTATGTACATCCTAGTCACACACTTAACACGGAGAGGATGTGTGAGGAATGTAAATTATCCCAGTGGTCAAAGAACTGACCTTACCTGTGACTAATGGCATGGTTACTTAGCCCTGGCATATTTAATAATATGCCAATGTACTGATTACTATATTCAGCCTTTGTGATAATTATGTTACCTACTCAAGGAGATGATAAAAAAAAAACACAAATCAAACAGCCCTTTCTGACCTTCAAAAATAAAAGGACAAATTCTGTTACTGAATACATGTGCACACTTTTGTTGGCTTTATTCATGTATGTACATATGCCTGCCTGAATACAGAAATTGGCCTTTAAATGGGATACGACAAGTTATTTTTTTTACACATAAAAATAGAAAACTGATCACTCAGACTGTACACACTCACAGAATGTATTGACATACCACGACCAGCTACAGTATTATGCACGACATATTGTTCACACATTAGTACAGCAGAGATACACACATTTAGAAAATTAGTAATTGCTAGTATATATTTTTCTTATTTTCAGGCTGTGTTGACCTTTTTCAACCTTAATAAAAGGTATCTCCAGGGGCCCTTAAAACAAGAATTAGTCTTTCCTCTCCTCTAGGGATTGGGGAGTATGACTATAATACTGCAATCTCCTGATATACCAGCATCATTTTAAGACACGATGGAAAACATTAGGAAAAATAAGTTACGTAAAGATGTGATCTAAAATAAATGTTAAGGAATCTCAACTAAAATCATCAAGGATGCCAATTAACATGAGTAAGCCCTTTCTACTCATTTTATATAGTTTGCTCTACACACAGCCTTTACATGTTATTAAAAGCAATGATATGAATCAGAAAAAAAACTGTTTAACTGCTCAAGAGTTTTTCTAAAGAGAGACAATTTTTAAAGCAACAAAGAACAATACTAGCAGCAATGTCAAAAAGCAAGCTATAATTTTCACCCCAGAAATAAATGAATGACATCTCCATAGTTAAGAGATCAAGAAAGCTGTTAGCAATTCTCTCCCATTTAATTCTTTCTAACATCATTAAATCACTGGGGTATCTCATCATAATTATCACCATGCAGGTTGATCATCAATATCCTTTTCTAAAGTGTAAAATATGTGATTTTTATTCCTACTATTTTGCAGCCAATTAATTTTGAGCTTGAATCCAGAAAGATACTTGATGAAGAGTTAGCATTTAGAAGTGCCCATCTGGAGCATCGTTTTCTGTAAGGCATCATTTGAAGCCTCTTTGGATACAAGATCTCATGTTTTAGTGATTTTACATCCGGGAGCCCATTTTTTCACAGCTAAAGCTGGTAATCCTCTGGGCAGAGTTAACTGAATTGCTTTCTACATGCTAGTGTCCAGAAAGAGTAATTACCATAAGTTTAAAGTCTCCATTTCAACAAAACTTCTGGTTGCAGCTGTCTTGAGTTTTAAGCCAGCAAGACTTTGAGTGGCTCCTCTTCCCTCTGGGCTCACATAAAAACATAGATGCCAACTGTATCCTGACTAATGCTCATTAGTGCTGTACCTCTTTATGAAGCTTCTAAACAAGTTTTTCCAGGAAGAAAGCAGAAACTATGCCTTTGCTTATTTTATCCTGTGGGTTACAGTCAGTCTTCATAAAGCAAACCATCATTATATAATGGTGTGCCCATAATAGATGCATTTGCTGGTATAACTGCCTCTTTTTGGCACATTATTGCTTGGCTTTAATTTCATATTCAACAGTCTTTATTCTCATTATTAGTATCTGAGATATTTGTGTCTTAAAAAAACTTGCAAATAACATCTTGTTGCACCATTCTGGCCACCACAAGTCATTTCACCAAGGTCCAAGGTTATTTGAATGTTGTTTATAATTATCATCACGTTTACTTACCTAACAGCCAAAAATAATGTTTCAGGATTGTTTGTTGCTGCTATCTACACATATATACAGATGCACTGGATTTATTTTGAGAGAGGTTATTTTGTTGTGGCAAGTGAGTAGTTTAGCTGGTGACTGTTCACAGTTAAAAGTAGCTGTAATGACCTCTGGCAGATGTCACTGATCACTTGGGAGACAGAATTTTTCCACTTCAATCCATCTTCATTTATGTCCTTGGTCATTGCAAACCCAGCTTATTTGATTTCTGCAGCCAAGGAGAATTGTTTTCTTTCCAAGAGTAGGATAAAGTTCATGGAAATCTGTTTCAGTATTTACAAGACTATTTTTTTTCCCATTTGCAAAAATGTCTAAAATTTTGTAGACATCCTTAAGCCCATGTGTCTGGACAGATGACATTTGTAATTGCTCAGCCAGTTGAAGAATTTCATTAAGAAGGATATCGTTACAAGGATGGACAGGAGATTCAGCATATCCTCTGTTATTTGCCAGGTGGCAGCAGCTGACCCGAATTTGGAGAGAATCAACCAAAAAGGGCCACGCACAACATCAGGAAGCATTGCTAACAGAAAACAAAATGCTCAGATACATATGTAAAATAACAAACACTAAAGGGGATGTTTGACTTCTGATTTCACCATGTACACAAAAACAGAGTGGGAATAAGGTAGTCGGCTCACTTATGCAAGATACTGCTGAGTTCACTGTTCTACCACAAAGGGAAATTCACAGGCCTCACTTCTCAAACACCACTTAGAACAAAGCAGGAGAGAGTAAACAGCATCATCTCCATGGCAGCATTACAGATAATTAGTAAATCAGGCAGGTAGAGGTCTACACAAGGCTACAAGTGCCCAGTTTTCAATAAAAACACATATACATATATGCAAACCTTATCCTAATGTATTGTTTTTCTTTATACTGATTCATAAAAGTAGACAAGGGATGTGGTTAATTATGTGTTACTAGGAGTAGACAAAATTTTAAACACTTGGCACAATATGTAGGAGGAAGAGAAGACACACATTTCACACATTTTGGCAGCAAAACAGTAACAAAGTGGATGCAGAAAAGGACAAACAATTTATATTAACAGCACACTTGCATATATCCTCTGTAAACACATTTTAAAGTAACATCATACTCTGTTCTTGGTATGCTATATATAGGGATTCTCAGAATGACAGGCATTCCCAGAAATGAGAGGAAAAACATTAGTATAAGCTAGGAACAGTGAAACCTCAATATGCTAGAATACAAACAAATGCTATTTTCCTCTTCTGCTTTCTACTTTAAGACAGCAAGCTCCTATTATGAATTTGGTTCTGAAATCCAACCTCTAAGGTATATGTTACACATGCATATTTAGTTCAATTTATTTCAATTTTTATGTTTAACTTTATAACATGGTGAACACTGGTATTCAAAACAGTATCAGAGAATTCTCAAGATTAAAAAAAATTATCAAAGATCAAATTACATTCAATATAGGTGAACTTATCAAGGCAGGAAACATACTAACACATTTTATAAATATTCAATTTCAGACGTGAACAAAAAGGTTTCTGGTTAACATTGACTTATCAGGATGTTCAACTTTTGCCAGTGACCCAAAGCACAAAGGTTAATCAATATTTTACTCTATGTAAAGTAGTTGGTCTGTGGCATTCAAAGTCAATAATCCAGAAATACATAATTAGAAAAGCATTCAAGATAAACATATGACAGCTGAAGCTGTCACATTTTTCTCATGGTCATAAAAACAGAACAATCAATCTTTAAATTAAAAATTTTAGTATTCACTTGTTAAGTGGTATAGCATCTTAATATTTTAAATGTTGAATTGTCTTCCAGACATGGAGTTCTAACTCACCTTTTTACTACTGGTTTAAGGAATATTTTCTATTTCTTGATTCAATAAAATATTTCCTCCATATATTTCAAAAATATAATGCATGAAAAAGAACCAAATCATATCTAAGAGAAATGAAGGGTAAAACCAAACAACTTTCAACCCAATGTGTGTCATGCAGGTAAAGTAAGGAAAAAACTGAGCAAGTTCCAAGAGTCTACCAAGAAAACTGTTTTGCAGCTTCATCTGTTGAATGAACCTTAGGTTTCACAAATAAGGTATACTAAATGCCTAATGCTATGTCACAGATTGAAGTGAAGGAAAATTCTCAAATAAGGTTTTATTGTGAGAGTAACTTAGGGGAGGTATCACAATACAAAAATGCTGCTGTCTTGAATAGGTCCCTATCTTATTTATCCATCTGAAGATATATTTCTGTTAATGTCCTTAAAAGCTGTTAGTTATATAGGGTTTAATGAGCCACAAAACAAACAATATTTTTGTAATATTTTGTGACAATCTCTTGAGTGTTGTAGAAGTGAAGAATTTGGTCCCAGCACCAAAGAAAATCAGTTAAACTCAGTACATTAAACAAATTTTCTTAAAGTTTTGATAGACATAACCACAATAGCAAATCTAGCAATTTTAATGTATTTAATGTGAGACAAATGCCAACAACTCTCTCAGGCCTCTGCTTCATTTAACTGTTTACAAATCATGTGGTTACTCTAAAGTCATGAAAATAAATATTATTATCAGAGGCGAAATTCCTTATTCTCACCTATTTTAATGCAGGGACAGCCTGTTCTAGCCACTTTACAGCAGAGGATTACCTGGGGCCACCCATCTGGAGTAGGCCCTGTTGACAGCTGCTACTGTGTACACAGGCTGTACTCTGTGTATACACAGCATGTATGCCCATGTGGGAGGGAGAAGCCAGCTAGCAAGAGTTAGAGAGATTATGTCCTGGCAGAGGCATCTGAGACAGAAGTGACACGAACACAACTACAAATGGGTATTTAAGGCCCAAAGAGAGAGTGTTAGGCTAAATCTCTAATCATTAATAGTAATTTGCTTGGTAATTTGATGGAAATTTCAACATTACATAGTATTCTTAATAGACACCAATGGGTAAGAAACTGAAAAATGTGCCTTATTAAAAAATTCCTTCTAATTTCCAAATAGAACAACTGTAACAACTCTCAGGCTCTGAGAATACTGTTCCATATATGCAAGCTTTGTCTACAGTTAAATTGCTTCAAAATAAATCAAAGGCTTTTTACTAATTTAGGTTGTGTCGAGTGTAGCTTGTGCTAAGTTCAGGAATGATTTTTTTTCCTGCATATGTTCAGAATGTGCAGAACAGAATTAAAGTGAAAAAAGCCAGAACAGATACTGTGAATTGACTGTACCCACGGGACACATGAGTCTCTAGAGAGAATACCTATGGTTAGGTACTCTTTTCTAGCTCATTACGGGGAATGAGTTCAAAGAAGACAACCGGTGCCCCTCCAGCATCTAAGTCTGGTTTTCTAAACGCAAAATGGAGACCAGCACTCCCCCAACAATATCTGCAGGAAGGGAAGGCTTCCCAGGGCCGTTGTTCATTCTTCCTTTCCACACTACCCCAATTCTCAAGGCGATGCTGCTCATCCAGGCCAGTGCCTTGGAGGATACTCATGTGTCTCGGGACACACGTCTCTTCTGGAGACACGGGAGGGCCAAGGTCCCAGGAAGTATAATCCACCCAAATCACAAGCCATGTTTTCGTAAAGGCCTCTTCTTTCATTGGGTTTGAAGGATATTATGGGTATTTCTCTTAAAATCAATAAGTTTGCAGAAGTTACCTTTTTACTCCAGCATATATATTTAAGCAATTAGATGATAGTAGTCTATGTACAAAAATTGTAAGGAAGCTCACATTCTAATTTGGTGTTGACTACATTTGTTACTGGAAGTTACTGAACCCAATTAAAAAAAATCACTAATTGCATCCTGTTTACAGGAGTCTAAATTAAACATTGTTTTTGTTACTTATGAGGCTTTTATCATCACAGAAAAAGCAGTGTTTGGTAATCTGCTATTTATAGTTCCTGACCAGAACCTTAGCATTCTCAGTAGAATATCACTGGAGAACACCTGCACAGTATCAATTTAGTATTATCCCTAATTTGATGGCTCTTTTCAAGAATTCAGTCCCATGTACTTCCTCTAGGGTAAGAAAATATGAATATGTCTGGTCAGAATCACAGAGATGCGCCTTGCCTTCAGTGCAGGAAAATGGGTCTATATAAATCCATGTTTAATGTAGGCAGTTTTCATAGTCAAAAGCTTAGCTAATGTTCCTAATATAACTTTCTTATATTTATTAACAGCAATAAGAAGGTTTATAAAAAGAGTTGTCTGCAGATGTTTATAAACATTAATTCATATTTCATATTTTACACATTTAACTGTTTTTATTTAATGTTATCTGGCCTAGGAATGAATCAAATATGTTCTCATTTTTTTCATTATGGTTCTTATCACCTATTTATAATTTGTGTGGTTACAGCATTCTTACTGCAATAAGACTAGAAATTATAACAATGTTTTCGCCAATAGTGTTTTTGCTACTTTCAATATGAAGCAGGGATTTTAATGGAACTACTACTGTGTGATAAATTGAGGCAGTTATACAAAATAATACATGTATAATGATACAATAATGCTATTTCTATGAACAACATCATATTTTTAAAAACCCAGTGAGTATTATTTTCAATTTGTTAAGGTTGCAAACCTTCAGTGAAGCTTGTTTCTCTTTTCTTGTTCCTTCTTTCAAATTGAAATGACATTTTTGTTTATAGAGCTCCAGGTCAAAGGATCTAACAATTTTTAATAGCAATTTCCTATAGTGAATACTTGCTTTTTCTTCCTAGTCTTGCAGCAAAAAACTAAGCAAGCTTTGACATAGAGGGACGCATGTGAATACCGTAAATTTATACACAAACTCCCATAAATACTCCCTTTCAATCTAACACAGAAGACGGGGCAGGACGGACGCAGCAGTTGGGGCGTCGGAAGTTCTGCAGCATGGACTGGAAAACACTGTGCTGCCTTCCTCTGAGCTTCTTATTTGAAGAAGTATCTGAGGAAATGGATCTCCGGGTCTGGCTATTTTGAGTTTTGATTAATTTCTCATGTTCCCTGATTTGTCTTTGCAAATGGTTCTGGATCGCGATTCCCAGGGACTCTGCGTCCAAGGATGCACCATACACTTCCCAGGTCATTCCCTGCTCATCCCACACGACGTCCCTGACACGCTTGGACTGTTTCAGCTGGAGCTTGGAGTCTGCGCCAAGCTGCTTTTTCTTATCTCCTGGAGTGAGTCCTACCTGAGCAGCAGCTGCTGTCACATTTAACTTTTGCTCCTTGAGGAACTCGCTGACGCGGCTGGGCCTGCGTGGGCTGGCTTTGACGGAGCGAGATGGGGTCTTCTTGCCAGAACCTGGGCTGGAGTCACCCATGGGATCAGATGGCAGGCTCAGGCTGGTGGCTGTCTTGGTCTGTCTGTTTTCTTCTAAGGTGCTCTCCTGGTTCTTCCTAATTGGGGAGGGTGTAGGATTAGCAGCTGATTCTGTGCCTCCACTTTCTTGGGATTTAGGATTGAGCAGTAGGGTTTTGGCATCCGAGGTATCAGTGCCAGTAGACTCTTTTTCTTTTACTACCTGAGGAGATGCAGGCTTCTTTTCCCTTGCATCTCCTTTATTAGTGGGATCCAAGCTCCCAGAATGATCAGCTTTGCTGATAGAGCCACAAGAGTCAGATAGTTTGCAATCTGGGTCTGTTTTGTGGCCGTTTGTCGTTTTCTCTGCAAACTCAGATGGCCTGGTTTCAAATTTCCCCAATCCATAACTTGTTTCAGCTTGACTGCATGCACTGATAGAAATCTGGTCAATGGCGGTAGCTTTCAGGGAGCTAGAATTAGTACCTGCGAGCTTTTTAGCAGTTGACTCTTCCCTCACTGGAGTCATTCCTGCTAACCTCCCATCTTCTTTACACGTATGCTGGGCATTACTGGAGACCAAATTGATTGATGAGGTTTTAAGGACCCCACCTGGTAGGCTCGCAAGTTTATTTTCCCGTTGGAAAGCTGTAGACTCAGCTGCAGCTGCCTGAATGTGCACCTGTGGCATGATGCCAGGGCACTGGCTGGACTCCTGGGGGGCTAGCGTGCTGTCAGAGAGCTCCAGTGTGTGGCTCCCACTGCTGTGGCAAATGACACGCAGCTGCTCTTGTTCAAAATGCTCAGGAGCACGGCTTTCCTTCAGAAATGCAGTGAGGATACTGGGGCTGGTGGAGACGGATCTGCTCTCGACACTCGCCACTGCCTGCACCTCCGCATCTTGCCAAGCCCTGCTGGGAACTTCCTTGATTTCACTTTCAGCTTGGTTGGTCATCGTACTGGCTTCTTTGAACCTTGACATCTGACGCTGTGCTGGCAGCGGCACCTTCTCTGGACCTGGGGGACATGCCGAAGGTTCGCTAGTGAGGGGGGTTGGTTGAGGTGTCACAGAAGTTGTGCCTTGGGGGCCCGAGGCAGTGACAGAGGGCTGCTTGTTCTCTGAACATCCAGATTCTCTAGTTAGAGGTTTACAGGACCTCATTTCAGAGTCACAGATGGCTCCCTGCCTTTCCCCTTCAGGTCCACCTACAGGAGAGGATGAGTGACTGACCACCCTGGCTGCTGTCACTGGAGTCTGCACTGTTCCCTGGATTGTTTCTGGAGAAGGAAACTCACAGGACACCTGATCTTTGCTGCTACTGAGGACGCCTCCCACAGGACAACTTGGTTTCTCAGGTTGCTCTCTATTTGAGGTTCTCTGTGATCTCATCAGGGAATCTTCAGGCATGGATGAGGTGATGGCATTGGGCTGATCACCTGGGATGGACTGGCAGGTGTGCTGATTGGCGGGCATTGTCAATGGTGTGTGTATAAGATCCCTTCCTGCTGCAGAACTCGGGGCTGATGCTGCGGGCTGGCTGCTCCCTGGCAGCTGGGGATTGCCGGGAGAGTTGAATGTGGCAGGTGCTTTCTGCACTTCATTGAACACACCAGGAGAAGACATATCTGGTTGGGTGGTCTCATGCTCACAAACCTGCATCAGGGCTTCGGCAGCTGCCCTGGGGCTGAGGTCTGGTTCTGCAGGGGCACCTGAAAAGCCATTGGCATTCTTACACAGGAGAGCTGGTCGATGCCGAGGTGAGGCAGCCTGTGGCTCTCCTAGATCGTCTTCTTTTCCGGAAGCTGCAATCAGGGAAGTTTTAGCTGATCTCAGAGGGTCAGGTACAGTCCCCATGGAATTTCTCTTCAGGAGCACTCCAGAGCTCTCTTGAGTACTGGTCCCACTGGTGGGGGAGGGGAGCGCAGTCAGAGCTCAGAGTGATGACACAGTCAGGGATGATTCCTCTGAAGAACCAGCCTGTGAATCAAGGAAACAGCATCATTAATACAGTACGTCGCTTAAGGATTGAAAAATAAACCAAACTGTCGTTTTTATAAGAGCACATTAAAAACTTTTCTTCCCATACCTGTTGATATAAAAATAGACCTTGTGGGGAGGGAGAAGAAAAATAAATAAATAAAAATAGACTTGAGAAAAAGATTTTGAAAAAAATTATAATTACGAAAATATTATTTTGATATATTAGTTTCTGCTTGCATCCCACTAATGTCTAGCAAATAGGTTTTTCATGTATCTACCTAAGTTTGCTAACTACCTCAAAAGTTATTGGTGTAATCTGACTTAGCAGATGTCAGAAAATCCTGTAAAGCCACTCTAATTAAATCAATAAGTAAGTATTGAAGTAGGCATAAACAGATATGTGAAATAAGAAATCTAGGGATAGATCCAAATATAAATGGGGACTTAATCTATGACAAAAGAAGTATTACAATTTGGTGGTGAAAGGCTGAGTTATTTCATAGAAGGAGTTGGCAAACTGTTCATGCATCTGGAAGAAAAGAAAAGTAGATGTTTATATTATACCAATTCCAAAAATAAATCCTAGATGGATGCAGTGGATTAAAGGTTAAAATATAAAATAAATAAATAAAATCATATAAGAAAACCTACGAATCATAAATGTAATCTAGAGACAGGTGAGCTAGGCTTTTTCTGAGATGGTAGAAACACTGTAAGAGAAAACAAACATAGGTGACTAAATAAAATTCAAAACCTGAATTTTATGGCATGACAAAAGATGCTATAAAAAATACAAGATTTTGGGGGAAATAAAAAGTGTATAACCCTAGAGGGCAGGCAAAAATACCTATAATATAGCAGGAGCTCTTTAACATTTATGAGGAGATCAAATAATCCATTGAAAAAATGGATAACAAATATAAAAACATAGTTTACAAGATACGAAATTTAAGTAACCATCAAGCTTATGAAAAGATGATCAAATTCATTTGTAGTCAAATAATGCAAATAAAGTAACAATGCAATTTGACTTCACACCAGTTGCATCTGCAAAATCTTAAAAAAAATAGACTTTTAATAGTAAGGTCTAGGGAGACCTAGCAAAAGGAAGTGTTTTTATTAATTGTAGGTGCAAATAAATATGTATTGTTACAGCTTTCTTATGGAGGCAGTTTAATTTTTAAAACTATAAATACACATTTCCTTGACTCAATGATACCAACTCTATCAACAGAAATAGAAACACCAACATATATGAATATGGGGATGTTTCCTGAAGTACTATTTGTAGAAGAAAAACAGACTGGTCTTTATAAATAGGCAGAATGATAGGAAAAGTCATGATGTAATTCTACTACAGAGTATTATGCAACCAGTAAAGTAAATAATTCAGCTATAACTTTTCACATGGAAGAGATTTCCTCAAGGTATGATTGAATGAGAAAAACAAGGTCCAGAAAACAGCATATACATTTTCATTTTTGTAAAACAATGACCTAAAACACTGCATATGTATGCATACAAACAGGCACACACACAGATATGTCTGTGTATGATTACATAAATTCTAAAAACATTTGGAATGAGACATATTAGGTGTTAAATAGAGGGAGAGTGATAAGTTGGGGACAGAGAGGGGAGATGAAAGTACCCAAAGGTGGAAAATGCTGAATTTTAAAAATCAGAAATGATTTAGGGCATATCATTATGTAAAATTATATGTGTGTGTTTATATATAAGCTTTTTTTTTTTTTGAGACAGGGTCTTGCTCTGTCACCTAGGCTGGAGTTCAGGGATGCAGTCATGGCTCACTGCAGCCTCGACCTCCCAGGCTCAAGCTATCTTCCCACCTCGGCCTCCCAAGTAGCTGGGACTACAGGTGAATGCCACCATGCTCAGCTAATTTTTAATTTTTTTGTAGAGACAGAGTCTCTCCATGTTGCCCAGGGTAGTCTTGAACTCCTGGACTCAAGTGATCCTCCTGCCTCAACCTCTGAAAGTGCTAGGATTATAGGTAGAAGCCCATGAACCTGGCCTATAAGCATTTTTTTAGAAAGAATAACTAGACACTAGGTCATGTGGACAAAGCAATGGATCAGAAATTAGTGGATGACTGTGTTTTAATATTTATCATTAATAAGCCATGTTACTTCAGGCTAATCACTCAATCTTTCTGAACCCCAAATTAACTCACTGGCAAAATGAATTAAATGATTTCTGAGGATCTTTCCAGCTCCAAAATTCAAGGATTCCACTTCTTTGCACATGATGAATAATACATCAAACTGTATGATCTTCACTCAGGCTACAAAGTGTCAAAATAAGGCAAAATCAAATCCGGTTGGACCTAGATTTTGAAAATACATAATTTTATCCTTTAGCTCAATGTAATCCAGGTGATCTACTATCACATAAGATCTAACAATAAATAGAATGCATTTTCTCCTCTAAACAAGCTCTTCCTTCTAACTTCATTCTTTATATGAATAGGTTGAATATTTTCCCATCCCTGGTCTTAACTGCTTTCTGCTCAAACCATTTCTGTAGGTTTCTATTCTATTTCTTCCTTACCCCAGTATTCTGTTGCAAAATCACTTGCTCTGCCCCAGCCAGTCTTTCACTCTGTTTTGCATTTGTGTTTATTATACTTTTCCTCCCACTGTCTGCCCTCCTCATCCTCAAAAAGCCTACCTATTCTTCAAGGCCCCACTTAAATCCCATTTTTTTTCTGAAGTCCTCTAAAGCCTTCAAGTTATGAAGTCTCTCTTTTCTCAAAAAAGAAAAAAAAAAAAAAAACAACTCCTACAGGTTGGTTGGTCGTCTGTGTCCTTTGTATTGTTCTTTTCATGCACTGTTTTCGCACCATTGTTACTTATATAAATGCCTCATTTTTCCAAAAACACTGCAAGCCCCGGAAGGAAAAGAAAGAAGCCTATTGATTCATTTCTGTTGACTCCAGAGGACACAGTGCAGGGTCTTGTGCATAAAAAGTTGTTAATTGATCCTGTTACCCTCCAAAATGGCCATTATTACAGCTCTGCCAAATGTCAAACGTACAGGAAAATTTGATCCATGGCATGAAATGTTAAGAAAAACATAATGTAAAAGAGTGCTTTTGGAAGTGAGAAAATGGTGTTATCTTACTTATTAAACTTTATGTGTCTGTAACCCAGGTTTAGATAACTAAAACCAAGAACGCTGAACACCTGCTACGAAAAGTTGGAAGGTCTCATAAAGCCAGGAACACAGAATATCTCCTGTGTTGTAAGGCTGGTGCCAAGGAAGTTAATTCGCCAAAGAGGACTATAAAACATGAACAGCTCAAAGTTCAGCAACTGAAAGTTAAAAGACTTAGATGAAGATGACTTCACAAAACTCTCAGAAGTCCACTGTGTTTACTTCCATTTCCAACACATAGCTAACTTTTAGTTTAACTTTGAAAGTGCGTTTTATTTCATTTGCTTTGCTAATAGAGGTTTAATTGTCCATCAATTGAAGTTCAAGAAGAAAAGCCCAAATTGCTTGGCTAAGACCTAGCACTTGAAATCTCTGTATTTATGCATAGATAACAAATCAATACTACTCTCCAATCTGTCTGCTAATGGAATTGTCACAGCATCTCCCTGAGCCCAGAAGAGACTCGCCGAAGTTCTGAACCAACACTCCTTCCCTCCCTCACTGACTGGCAGAAATCTATGGGCTCCAGTGGGTCAGGCAAATCGAACATTTAAAAAGTATAACTACTTGTTGGTTTAGAATGGGGAGTATGTGTCTTTATCATCAACCAGAGTCCATTATGGTAAGATTTAATAACTTGCACTAAAAATGAGGTGCAAACAGGTGGCCCCCAGACTTAATGAGTCCCTTCTACAGAAGGGTGTGTTGCATCTGGGTGTGTGTGTGTGTGTGTGTGTGGAGTGTGTGTCCTGCATGGTTTTCTCTTCCTCCTTCCTTTCCTCTTCCCCTTCCCTTTCTTTTTCCTTCTTTCTCTTTTTTTAAACCTTTTTTTTAAGTTCAGAGGTAAATGTGTAGGTTTGTTACATGGGTAAACTCATGTAACAGGGGTTTGCTGAACAGATTATTTCATCACCCAGTTATTAAGCCTAGTACCCATTAGTTAGTTTTTTTCTGATCCTCTCCCTCCTCCCACTCTCCACCCTCTGATAGGCCCTAGTGTCTGTTGTTCTCCTGTATGTGTCCATGGGTTCTCATCATTTAGCTCCCACTTAAAAGTGAAGTATTTGATTTTCTGTTGCTGCATTAGTTTGCTAAGGATAATGGCCTCCAGCTCTATCCATGTTTCTGCAAAAGACATGATCTCATTCTTTTTTTATGGCTGCATAGTATTCCATGGTGTATGCGTATCACATTTTCTTTATCCAGTTTATCATTGCTGGGCATTTAGGTTGATTCCATGTCTTTGCTATCGTGAATAGTGCTGCAATGAACATACACATGCATGTGTCTTTACGACAGAACGATTTATAATCCTTTGGAATATACACCATAATGGAATTGCTGGGTTGAATGGTAGTTCTGTTTTTAGGTCTTTGAGGAATCTCCACAATGTTTTCCACAATGATGGAACTCTTTCCCTTTTTCCTTCCCTTTCTTTTCCTTCTTTTTCTTTTGAATTGAAGAGATCTTTCATAAAAATCCAGAATTCTCCCTTGCCTCTATTTATTGTTAAGGTTTGCATTTCCACATGGCAACCACTAGGTGGCGCTGAGAAGAACTGTCCCCCTTGACGGGCGTGGACTCTCCAAGTGACCAGGAGTCCTGCTACACTTGTTAACATTACTTACCTGGGGTTGTGTGTGCAGCTGGGTTTGAAGACCTTGCTCTAAGAGTACTGACAGTAGACTTCCCACTCTAATTTGCAGGCCTCTGAGGGCAGTCTGACATTGTGTTTAAGAACATGGACTCTGGGGCAGACTCCTTGGATTAGAATATCAGTTCCACCACCTAGCTTTAGCTCTGTGTGCTTGGGCAAGTAACTCAACCTCTCAGGGCCCCAGTTTAATCTATAAACTGAGGATAATAATAGTACAGCCTCATTGGGTTGTCATGAGGAATAGATTTGGCCTTTAGAACAAACAGCAACTTGGCACATATTAAGCACCATAAAAGTGTTAGCCTCTTTTAGAAACCTTGGTATTTAAGCTTTTATCTGTGTTAAAGTAAAAGTTATTCTGACACTTGTTAAAATGGTAAGAAGACTTTATTCAGGACTTTTGTGATGGGTATCAAGAATATTGCAATAGAGTAGAGAGATGGGGCTCAAATTCAAATACAACAAGAACAAGTAGAGATATTTAGCCAAGGAGAGGGTTGTGGTGGGGGGCAGGTGTGTCAGTGGATGTAAAATTACTAAGAGGAGACATCAAGCGAAGGGGGATTTTTGCTAAACCACTTAACAAATTCTTGCTGAAAGCATGGTTGACCAAAGCGATCAGATGTCAGGGATGGTGAATTCTCTCTAAGCTGGCTTAGCAAGGTTCTTGCTAAAACTGGACTCTGCAAAAGATGAACACAGATGCCTAAGGTCAAGACCTGGTTGAGAAGAGGGCTCAGCAAATAAAGGTTTTCTTAAAAGACTCTCTGTAACATTATAAATTCTTCCTGAATTGAGCAGAAATCACACAGAAGCTAATGGTACCTCTGAGTTTATCTTTAAGTTTAATGGGAACCGTATCCTTGACAGCAGACTCTTTTGGCACCTATCCTTAAAATCGTGAGCAGAGACTTAAAGCCTTGTTCTGGTAATACAGCAAGACTTCAGGGTAAACATTATCCACCTTTTACAGGGAGGGAAACTGAGGCCCAGAGGCTAAGTAACCCACTCAAGATGGAATACCTGTAATTCCTGTTGAACTGAATTCTAATGGATGCGAATGCCTGGACCCTTCCTATGCTGCTTCCTTATTAACTGTAACCATGAGAAGAAAATGGAAAGAAAGAAAAAATTTTAAAATTTTTATAGATATCTATATATCTATATATATCTCCCTAGAGGAGAGGGAACCTTCTATTTGCAAGTGATTTGCAATCCAGGGGCAGCCTAGATGGCATTAACATCCACTACAGTGACATTCATAACTGGTCACCTTAGGGAAAGTCCAACCAGCTTGTTGAAAGCTGACACTGTCACTGACCATTCTGAAAATAGTGAGTTCCACTACTATGCCATGCTGCCTATTTTCATAACAGACACCTGCACTTAATAAGAGAGGCAGCAGGGAATCTCAGCCCTTTGTGACTTCCCCCAAAGCCACGCTGATGGGAAGAGCATTAAGCAGAACGGATGGGGAGAGGTGTGGTGGCCCTGGACCGACAGGAGGCTGATGTAGTGCAGGTCATAGTGATAATCCTGTGGGCAGCAATTACCTTAGCCCACTTCAGAACCACTGCACTGCTAGAACAAGGGCTCCAGGATGTCATCATGCCTCTTTAGTGATATTAAATAAGAGTTACAGGGACCTCAGTGAGCACCTTTCTTTCCAGCCATCTGACAGCTGTTTTTAGTAATCAGATAGCTCCTGCAAAGACCCTCAGAGAACAGCAAGGCAAAAAGTAAGAGATTACTAATCCTCAAGAAAAGAGTAAAGAAAAAACATCATCTGGCATCCTATTCAATCTGATCTAATTGCTCCCTTTAATTGGGAACTTTTGCCTGGATCATTTGCATTCTGAACCCAGCAGATTCTGCCAGTGCAGAGTTTGAAGGAGAAGTGATTCAATCCTAGGAAACAGCCACAGGCTGGGAAGAGCAGTCCCTTCTTCTTTCTTTAAAAACATCATACCGGGGCACTAACAGCTGCCTAAAATGCACTTTTTGAAGACATTAGCTGAAAAATTGTTTTGTCCCTTCAGACTGTGGCTAAAGCAAGTCAAAATGGCTGAAGAGAAAGGAAGACTGCTTTGCTTAGTGCTACTAACAGTGTCATGTGGACTTTCAATTATAATGGTTACTTTAATAAAAGGCTCATGAGAAACAAGCTGCATCCCTTCTCCCCATCCAGTTTGTCTTTTCAACATTGTTCTAGAAAAACGAGCGCATGGCCTGTTATCTTACTGAATTCCACTGTAAGCAAGACTGGATAAAAACCAAGAGGTTAAAAAAAAAGGGGTTTAAGAAGCACGATGACCCTAAATATTCCCCCTTTTGTCAAATACAATTTGAACAGATGGCTTCTAAATTCACAACAGATTAGAATCATGGGACAGCAAGCACTTATTTCTTGCTTTCTCTATTGCAGACACTGTTCTGTATGTGAACTCATCTACTCCTTAGAACAGCTCTATAAGGATGGTCTTACTATGTGCCCTGCTTTGCAGATCTGGAATCTGAGGCAAGGTCACACCACTAGTGAGTTGTGCAGACCGAATTTAAATCCAGACCATCTGGCTCCTGAGTCCACATTGTTAACCAGTTTTACACAGGGAAGAGAGACCTCTTTTAATTTTTATTTTTTGTGGAGGCAAACTCAATGACTTGGACAAGCAGCATCATCAGACAGTAAGAACAGTAACAGAAAACTCAAAAAGCATAGTGGTATAGGAACATTCCTTTAAACCCTATTACTAACCGAAGCTAATAAAGGTCAATTGGGCAATACAGAAATCCGATACAGAAATCTTCATAATGATTAATCCAGTTTGGACATTTTAAGAGCCATAGACTCTTCTGAGAAGTTGATGAAAACCATGAACCCTCTAGAATCACATGCATGTACGTGTACACACACATATTTGCAGATCATTTTAGAAGGTTTACGCTCAGTGTTTTAGGGGAGGGAAAATTCTTTTTCCTCTTACCTTCCTAGGTTCTCTGGCTGGAGCCCTGAGAACCTAGGAAGGTAGTAGGAAAAAGAATTTCCAGACAAACGCCAGAGTATCAAAAGAAAAGCATATAACTGTATTTAACATAAGCTTTATGTGACATAGAAGCCTTCAAAAGGAAATGAAGACTTGTAGAATGGTTAAGCCTGAGCATTTTTTTTTTTTGAGACAGAGTCTTGCTCTGTCACCAGGGTGGAGCACAGTGGTGCCAACCTGCAACCTCCACCTCCTGGGTTCAAGCAATTCTCGTGCCTCAGTCTCCCGAGTAGCTAGGATTAAAGGCATGCACCACAACACCCAGCTAGTTTTTGTCTTTTTAGTAGAGATGGGGTTTCATCATGTTAGCCAGGATGGTCTCCATCTCCTGACCTCGTGATCCACTCCCTCGACCTCCCAAAGTGCTGGGATTACAGGCATGAGCCACTGTGCCTGGCCAAACCTGAGCATTTTTATAGTAGGGTTGATGAAGAGTGGAAAATCATGGAAAAATGTGATAAGACAAATGGGCAGGAGCTAAGAGTAGTAAACTGCTGGAAACTTAGCAAGGCCTGTTCCTTTGACTCCACTTGGATTCCCTCTGGGTATGGGGAGGGCACCCCTCACATGAGGGTCGTATGACCTGCTTTGGAGAGAAAGGGGCGTGAGAGTCCTTCCTGTACTTGCCATTTCTCAAATTCCTTCAGCTTAAAATAGTCACTATGCCAAGGCGCCCTACGTCGGGGTAGTTTCTGAGCCCTGTCACTAGCAGCCTTTCCACGGCTGCACATTAGTATCCTTTTCTCTATGGCATTGGAAAATGTCACAAAATAAAATGGACCTGCTTCAAAGACTTGTTATGAGCTCAAATGAAATAGGTTAAACACTTAGCATGCTGCTTAGAATATAATAAACAATCGTGAGTTATTATTCTTAAAAATTCGTATTTTGGCATAATTTACCTATGGAGGCAGGAATTATGAAATGTATTTTACAGAGAGTCCATCTTACATGGTCCAACATTTAAATAAGTTTACTATATGTTCCCCTAAATCCCAATCTAAAGACTACCACTTGAAGAAGTAACATTTAGCTAACTTGAAAATTAACACACAATAAGCTTTATTCTTTTTCATTCAGGTGGGAGGAATAGACTTTTTTGGTCCGTTTTCAACAAAAATATTTTTTAAAAAACTTGAACTCTTCTCCAGAAGAGGTGATTAAAACATTTAGGTTTGTTATTCTTTCCTTCTCTAATCAAGCTGGATCTTACCATCTACTTGGTTTGCCTGACAAATATTCAAATCTGAATATTTTCTTCTTTTGCAACTCAGCTTTGAAGGACTTCAATTGCAAGCTTATTTTAATTGCAAAGAGAATGCAACAGGATCTCAGGGCTAATCTCAGGGTTAAACAACACGCTAATAAAAGTAAACTAGGCAGCCTCCATTTGCATGTTTTTGCATTTGCATTTTAAAATCCTGTGTTAGATATGATCAAAGCTGCTCTGCATCCCAATTTTCTACAGGATATATTTAGCACCAGTAAAGTGCCACTCAGCCTTACAAACAAGTATTCTTGTCCTTGCTGCATTCTTGACCTTACTGATCTTGCTGCCTTTTTCTCTGGCTGCCACACTGCCCCCCTCTACCACCCCCAACTGTTCCAGGTTCACATTAAAACAAGTCTTCCACTCCACTTGCTTGCCTTTTGGCAAAGGCATCTTCCAAATGCAGAGGCGGACACCTAAGTGGGAGATCCCTGCTATGCCATAATAGGCTGAGAGCTTATTGGTAATTTCTGCTTTTAGCTCACATCAGACACCACCAAGTCAGACACCACCAAGTTCAAGCAGTACTCTTGCCTCAGCCTCCTGAGCAGCTGGGATTACAGATGTGTGCCACCACACCTGGCTAATTTTTTTGTATTTTTAACAGAGAAGGGGTTTCGCCATGTTGGCCAGGCTGGTCTCGAACTCCTGACCTCAGGTGATCCACCGGCTTCAGTCTCCCAAAGTGCTGGGATTACAGGCGTGAGCCACCACGCCTGGCCCTACTTGGGTCTTTAATCACATTGGAGGATGGAAAAATGTCTGGTGGCAATATTTATACAGTGAGGAATCCACAGGGAAAGGGAGCTGTTCACTGAGATGGTGCCTTGGGGGCTCTTCTGCTCTTAGAGAACACAGAGAAACCCAGGAATAGGCAAATTCCTCAGGGTCTTATGGTCTATACCTGCTCTGTGCTCCCCATTTGCTGTTTGCAAGGAGAACCAGGCTGCCTGAGAGAATGTGGGGTGCTCTGCTCTTGAGAATGAATAGCTTCTTTGCTGGGGCCACAATCTTCAGGTTTGATCTGACAGTTGTGATTAAAAAAGCGAGGAAGAGAAGGAAAGAACCCGTCACTCTCTTGCTTTACAGTCTGTAAAACATTAAGTTAGGCATCGCGAGTACATAAAGGTTTTGCTTTTTGCCCTTAAGGAAATATCAATCCTTTTGAGGAGACAAGACAAATTCAATAAGAAGCTATAAGTGAGCAAGAGTGTATATAATTAAGTGGCTTAATGCAGTGGTAATAAACTGCTTTGTAGATGTTCAAATCAGGGAAAAGGCCAATATTTCTAATTCAATTGACATTTCCTGTATAGCTATTCTATAGGCTAGAAAAAGTTGCCCCTATGTAAGTAAGTCTAAAGAAAAGTGAACATTTGAAATAAGAGAAAGGTGAATCAAGTAAAGATGAAAAAGAATGGTCTTTCATTAAAGATAAAATAATCCCTTAAATCACACAAAGACAATTACAAAATACTGCTGACATCCATTCATTTATTTAATAAGCTAACTGCCTTTTTGTGCCAGATATTCAGTATACAAATATAAATAAGACACACTTATGTCTCTGAGGAGCTCACACTTCCTGCATTAAACAGAATTAAAGTGTTGTAAAAGAAACAAAACACAACCCCCGCCCCCCAATGTCCTATAGAAGTACAGAGGATTTGTCATTTTATTCAGCACAGATCTTAAATTAGAGTGGAGAATCCTAAGCTTTGTAAGACGTATTTAATATGATCAAGAGGAGCTAGATGTTAATCTAGGGTAGAGTTTCTCACCCTGGAACTATCGACATTTTGGACCAGATAGCTTGTAGTGGGGAAGGGAAGAAAGGAGGATTGTCCTATGCACAGTAGGATGTTTAGCAGCGCAATGCTGGCCTCCGCTCCCCAGATCCCAGTAGTGCCCCTACTTCCAGCTGTGACAATAAAAAATGTCTCCAGACATTTCTGGGAGGACGTAATTGTCCCTGATTGAAAGAACCACTGATCCAGGAGGTGAGCATATTTACCTTTGATAGACAGAAATCTCCTTAGAATGAATGCCTGTGAGTTGATGTAAGATAACTTATTCCAGCTGGATATGACTTAATGATATAGTTTTCGGCTCTCAAGTCAAAGAGAGCACTTCTCATACTCTACCTGTGAGAATGCAAGTTAGTATAATTCCTATAAGGAACAATTTGGCAATGTTTATCAAAAATGCCAGTTTGTATACACTGACTCTGCAATTCCACCTCAGGTACTAATGTTGTAAGTAAACTAAATAAATGTGCTAATTGATATATGCACAAGGTTTTTCACTACATGAAATAACAACAGATTAGAAGCAATTTAAATGTCCATTAATAAGAAGTTAGTTATAAAAATTATGCTATTTTGATGAAATGAATACTAAGCAGCCATACTCAGTAACGAGGAAGCTCTTTAAGAATTGATATGGGGCTGGGTGAGGTGGCTCCAGCTGTAATTCTAGGACTTCGGGAGGCTGTAGGGGGGTGGATAGCCTGAGCTTAGGAGTTCAAGACCAGCCTGGGCAACATGGTGAAACCCCGTCTCTACTAAAAATACACACACACACACAAATTAGCCTGGCATGGTGGCACGCGCCTGTGGTCCCAGCTACTTGGTTAGGAGGCTGAGGTGGTGGAACTGCTTGAGCCTGGGAGGCAGAGGTTGCAGTGAGTTGAGATGCTGCCACTGCACTCCAGCCTAGATGACGGAGTGAGACCCAGTCTCAAAAAAAAAAAAAAAAAAAGAATTGATATGGAATAATCTCCAAAATACATTTTTAAGTAAAACAGCAACTAAAACAAAACAAAAATCCAATAATAATAATAAAATTTCAAGATACTGGCATATTTTGTATGCTACCATTTGTATTAAGAAGAGAAAAATGAGTATCTTTGCTTGTAGACATATAAAATATTGCTGCAAGGATAAATAAAAAATTGCTATCAGAGAAGGAAGATGGTGCTTGGGGGACAGAATGGATGGAACATTTTTCGCTTAGTATCCTTTTGTATTTTTGGAATTTTAAACTATATGAACTTATTACCTACTCAAAAATAATAAAAAAAATGTAAGGCCTGGTGCTCCTCACCTAGGCAAAACTGAGCAAGCATGCACGCTGACGTTTCTGTCAGTGATGATGGATTCGTGCTGGTCTACGCTTCAACACCCTTTCCATCTGCTCTTTGCTGTGCAGGGAGGTCAGCCTGGCCATGCAACTAAGGAAACCATAATTTTCTTATCCATCTTGGTTATCTAAAAGCTCCAAGCTGGGCAATGTGAGTAGTTTTCAAAGTCAACAGCTGAGAAATGCTTTTTAAAGTAATGTCTGTTAGGCCACAAAATAAAAGTTTACTTAAGTTACTTTTCCCAGACTTTCTGACTCCTGTTTATTAGTTGATTTCTCTGCCCTGCCCACCCTCCGCCATCCCCCTACTTTCCTATTCCTGGTAGCTCTAGCAGTTGGTTTTCAAATCATACATTCCTCAAACAATAAATCCAAAGATGACCTAAGACAAACAACTACGAAATTAAGTCAAAACATCAATAAAAGTGATTAAGAAAAAAATGCATTTATTTTTATTTCTCTAGTCTATATTTTGGGAATTGACTAAATGTCAACATACAAAATTTAGAAAACATATTTTAATTGCCAGTTATCAAATCCACGTCTTCTGTCAGTACTGGGCTTAACTGAATTTATCATATCTCATGAAAGCACAATATTATACTAACTGGTCTCATTCAGTCAATGCTAAACACTTACCCGCCACTTGCTGCTAATGTTACCTTTGTAAAACAAACAAATATGCCACTTCTCTGTGCATAAAAAATTTTAATCGTTCCCCATTCACCTACAAAATAAGATGTATACATTTGGGCACAATTTAAAAAAATGTCCTTCACTATCTGATCCATTTCATTTTCTGATTGGTATGTTCTCTTATTGAGATAGCCAGGTGGGAGGGGGTCCCCGGAGAATCTCCATCCAGCCTGTGCACTGGCGGGAATGTGCACTGGGGTGGAGGCCCAGGAAGTCTGCACCATTTGCTGCAGGGAGGAGCCTGGCCCCTCCTCTTCCTGTGTGAAACCTGGGATTCAAATGGCCAGGCAGGAAGCACTGTAGCAGGGACTCAGGCCTTTGGAGTGTCCCTGTTTCCCCTTCTTCCTTTTCACTCAATAAAACCCTGTATTACTAACCATTCAAATTGCCTGTGAGCCTGAATTTTCGTGGCTGTAGGACAAAGTACCCCATCTTTAGCTGAACTAAGGAAAAGTCCTGCAGCATTATTGTCATTTGTCAGATTCTGTGTGTTATTTACGTATCTGAAAACAAGCTTCAAAAAAGGATTATGGTCTTCATTTTACAGATGAGGAAACTGAGGCCCAGAGAATTTCAGCTCATCAAAGATGTGCATTTACTAAGTAGCAGAGTTGAAATTCAAAACCAAGTCTGACTCCCAAACTCATGTTCTTAAGTGTCTCCAAGAGTACAGAATGGGAAATAAACATGAACTCATAATGTATGGGGATAAAAGAAAACATTTCAAAAGCATTTTTGAAAGGTAATTTTGCCCCAAGATCTTTTCTGATAACACCAAACAGTAGCAATTGTTCCATTTCTCTTCTTCTATATCAGTTTGTTTTACCAACCTCAGGACACTTTGCACATATTGCCTCTTCTATAGTTTCAATGTTTGTCTTTCCAAAACTCGTGTTGAAATTTAATCCCCAGTGTTGGAGGTGGGGCCTAGTGAGATGTGTTTAGGTCATGGGGGTGGATTCCTTGTGAATAATGTCTTCCCTTGCAGATGAATGAGTTCTCTATTAGTTCCCATGAGAGCTGATAGATAAAAAGAGCCTGGCACCTACTGCCCCTCTCTTGCTTCCTCTCTCCCAGTTTGATCTCTGCACACCCTGGCTCCCTTTTGCCTTCTACCATGAGTGGAAGCAGCCTGAAGCCTTCCCCAGAAGCAGATACTGGTCCCAGGCTTTTTGTACAACCTGCAGAACTGTGAGTGAAATAAACCTCTTTTCTTAATAAATTACCTAGCCTCAGGTATTCCTTTATAACAACACAAACAAACTAAGCCTTATACTTGGTTCTTTTTTGGCTGCCTTCTCTTCCCTGCATACTTGGGGAAGAGAGTTCTAGGCAGAGGGTGCAGCTAGTGCAAAGGTCTTATGTAGGAGCTCATGGGGAAGAGTGAGGAGTTCAGAATGGCAGCTGGAGCCAAGCAGGTGAGGACAGAATAAGGGGCAAGATTAGAGATACGAGGTGGAGGGATCATGCAGGGCTTTGCTCATATGTCCATTTGCAAAGAGGTTCCTGCAGACTAAGCTATTGTTAAACTGCAAGTCCATTGACTTCCACTCTCTGCCACTTCTGAAGCCCAGCTGAAATTACTATTTTTTTCCATAACATTAATCACCTAAAATACCAAAACATTTACCCATTTATTGTGAGTATTATATATGAAATGTCTTCCCCTGCTGGAATGCAAGCTTCAAGGGGGCAAGATTTTGTCTTTTTTTGCTCATTGATACCCTAAGTGCCTAGATCAGGGAACAGCCCATAATAAGCTCTCAGCAAACATTTGTTAAATTAATAAATACTGCCTTTTGTGTTTTGGCCTGCATTTGTAGTATGCTACAGTTTTTATGGTTTTCAGTTAGCTTTTACTAATTGCACTCAAAGATAGATTTTTCTCTAAGGACATATATAGGTGAGGTAATCATACATCCTGGGTGTTTTGGGGATAATTATAGTTCAAATGCTAAGCAATACTGCCACCATAATTATTATTATACTATTCTCAATTTTCACTTAAGATATGGTTTTAATATAAAGGGATATATATCAGTGTTTTGAGGGGCTAATTTAAATAATAAATTCTATTCCTCTAAAGTCATCTGCTATGGAGACAGGAAATTTCTAATTCTGTTTGTAGATAGGGTACATCTTACTTGGGGACTTGTAAGCAACTGATTACAATACCCCTTTTTGTTTAAAATACTTTGGAAAAAATGTAATAATAAATACATTTACAGAAAAATACCCAAAATTAAAGAATATTCTTTCAAATTTGTCTTTCTAACCTAGGGAATACTTATAACTATATTTGCTCCTTGGATGTTTTCTGGAACATTTAAAACTTTGTGATGAGTTCATTAGGGTAATAGTGGCTAGGAACATATGTTGACCTTGCGGACTACTATGCTTTAGAACAAAGCTAAACATTAAAATATTGTTTCCCTTCCAAAAAATTTCAGCAGATGCTTATTTATTATACTATACCACTGGAATTATTGGACTTTTCTTCCTTCCTTCCACCCTTCCTTCCTTCCTTTTCTCCTTTCTTCCCTTGCTCCTCCTTTTTATGTTGGCATAGGCCTAATATAATTTATTTGCCAATATTTTCTAACAGAATCAATATGCTGTTTTTCATTACTTACTTTGTAACAATGTAATATAGTTTGTAACTAAAATGATAAGATATGACAATTTTTAAACTGCTTCTTAGGAGAAGTTGAAATGCATGGAGGGGTGAGCTCCACCACATTATGTAGTACCATACTCAGGTAAATTAACACAAAGCGCTACATTTTTGTGTATTTAATGTCAAAGATTAAGAATAATGTTCAGTTGTTGTAAGGGTGGGGTGCAGTATTCTCAGTACTGCTTATAGGAACACAAATTAACCAACTGATTAAGAACATCACAAATATCTATACCCTTTGAGCCAGTGATTCTACCCCTTGGAATTGAATTTAAGATAGTAAACAAAATAACTGGTTAGGGCTTATGAACAATGAAGTTCATTGTAGGGTTATACAGAAGAAACTTGCTCAATAATCTGCCCCTAACGGACAGACAAATTTTCTGTTCCCAAAGTGGGACTTCCTGAGGATGCCATGACTCAAGGAATCCTGGCAGCTGGTGGGCCTCTCTCTGGCAGGCCTGCCCAGTACCTGTCACTGATATTGCATGAGACCAAGAGTAAGTGGCTCTTCATAAACTTATGCATGCCACTTACTCTTGTTCTTTTCACCACATAATTTGACTACAATTATATTATATAAAAAGGATGAAGCATGAGTTCAGAAAGTGTTCTTGTTCCTTTGAAATGAAGTTGAATGGTTTAGGAAAACTTGACAAAGGTGGGTTGCTAAAACCAAGTTGCTATTGCATTAAGGGTGAGTGAGACAGCTGTAAAAGATAGGAAAATCGTTGTAAACACCTAACATTCTTATTCTTAATTACAACTGCATCTCCCTATTGTAACAAAATGGAAGCAGAAAAATATTGAGGTTCCATAGTGAGTTTCTGTAAGAAAGATGATCCAAAACTCCAATCAATGGATCCGTTCTCAAAGAAGACATCTGGCCTTATAAATGATTAGTGAATGATATAAACTCACTAAATCCTTAGTGAATGATACAAATTCAAGTGTTTTAAGTTGAAAGAAAAACCTTAGGAATATATGTGTCATTTTTATAGTTCTTAATTTTTACTAATTTTTGATATATCAATTAATTGTGATGCTATAGGCTGCAATAAATTTATATATAACATAACATGTAGAGAAAATATATATGTAAAGAAAATTAGAAGGAAGTAGACTAAGTGTCAGTTGGTTACCATAGGGTGGGGTTATGGGTGATTTTTAAAACTATTCTTTTGTATTTGAAAAACTCTGGAAACAGTCTTATTTCAACTGTGTAAAATGTAGCAAAATGTAAAAGAAGGGTAACACTGGGAAAACAAGATTCCTACCAAGTCGAACCCCATAGCCAAGAGGTTTCCCATTTTATAATCCTTGTTAAAACTTCCGAGTTAACCACCGCTAAGAATATTCATGGTGCAAAATTGAGAAGGGTGTTCCTCTCTGCAACTGCACTTTTGAATCTTGTTTTATATCAATGCACTCTCTGGATTTTCCAATATTACACCAGTTCTTACTTTGTTTAAACCAGTTCTACACATGGGTATGAAGTATATAATTAGGCTGTACTAGATATCTGAGAAGAAATCTGGGATTAGACCTGCCTCGGTGAGGTACCCTTATTATATGTTGCTGCTTGATAGTACTAACCAGCTTTAGAAGGTTCACTGTCACCCTGACATGGAGGCACATGATGCATCTGGTTCAACAGCATTAAAATACCTTTTCTAGGAGTTGCTTATCACTGGTCCTCATTGGTCCTTAACATTCTTTCCTGTCTGGGCCCCAGTCCATCTCTGGCTTCTGGTGTAAGCCATATAGATGCCACAGTCTCTTTTACTTCTGAATTTAGGATCTATTATCTCTTCTTTTGTTATTAATGTCTATAAGTGCTACATGCATTTGAGTTGGACTTTAAATGATAGGGAAGATTTCAACTGTACAGGAGGGAGGACATTAGAGAAACCTACACAAAGAAAGGTGCAGATGTTGGGGGAATATTCCACTTATTCGGGAAAGGGTGGGTTGTCCTGAAAGCTTCAGCATAGTATATTCATAAGCAGAGGTATCATCAGAAACATTTATCATCTAGTACACACCTAGATGTGCCTGACTTATCAGATTGCGTGATATTTGTAAAAGCATAATACTGGGATGTAGTTACGCAAAAGTGGCTATTACTGGGAGACAACAAACAGATTGAGTAAAACTGGAAAGCCTTAATAGCCTCAACAAGTTTGGGCTTTTGTGGTGGGCAATAGGAAGTTACTAGAGGTTTTCCAACAGACCAGTGAAACAATTAGAAAACTTAAAAAAGAAGTAGTTTTAAAGTTGCTCTGATTAGCAGGGGAAAGTCCACAGGTAGAGTGATCAACTATGAGGCTGTTTCCATACAAGAGATAGGAAAGAATCCATCAATGTTGTTAGTAAGAATACAAAGAGAAAAGAGATATGGAAATTATTACAGAAGTGGCATTGGCAGCATTTAATGACTGGTGGCATGTAGGAAGCAAGGCTAGAAAAAGAATCAGGGATGATTCTAAGATTTCAAACCAGAGTGATTAGGAGAATGTTGGAGAGATTGCAAAGATGGTTCAAGCACAGGGAACAAGGCTAGACTAGAAGATGTTTGTGAGTGGCTATGCCAAGGGTAGGCAAAGGGCACAGGCAGGGCACCTCTGCTACCCCTCCCAAATCCCCCCACAACTCACTTCAAATAAATGTATAGTCCAATAAAAGCAGTGTACTTCCTATGAAGCCACCCCTTCCAACTGAGTTGATCCTGAAATTCCCTTTTATGTAAAAATTCTGAAGCCACTACTGAAGTATACAAGTGTAGAAAGATGGGAATAGCAGGCCCACAATCAATTGTGTGGTGGAGCTGGCTCACAGAGCTGGTTGTGTTCATCTCTTTCCAACCCCATGATCAGTGACATCATGTAGGTAGCTTGAAATCGGGCCACTGAGGGAATATTCACACCCCAGAATTTGGCAAGCTCTCTAAATTCGGCACTTTTCCCCCAGAAAGCCAGTTGTTAAATATTTATATCTCTCTTGAGGAACTGGCTATGAAAGCAAGAAAAATAGTGAAGTATTACATAACCCTTGAATGACTGTTAAGATAAACTTTAAGAATAACAGCTGGAAGAAGAAAAAGGAGAAGCTCATGAGTTTGAGGTATGATTGATATGCATGGCTATGAAGGTTCATGACAGGTGGGATGGCAGATTTATTCCCATGCAGAAAGGATCTCCAAATATTTCTAGGTTAGTCATTGGTATCTTGAGGAAAAATTTTCTTCTGATTTTATAAACAATGTTTAATACTCTGGTACAAATAATGTTTTTCATAGATGACCATCGTTCCTGCTTCTCATTCTTCCTGTTAGAATGGTCCTGCTGGGTTTCCTTTACAAATTAGATGAATACTTCAATTGAGCAATAATGAATTTCTTCAGCAGGCTAGCCTGCTGAATGTGGGAAGCAATTATTAAGGAGATAGCAAATCACCATGGTAGTATATTACTAAACTTCTCTTTCAGGGCATCTTTTCAGAACTAGATCTGTGTTACAACGTCCACACCGCCCCCTCTACAAGCCCCATCTGCGCAGTCTTTCTCCTACCTCCTCCAAAAGGCTAGTGTATTTTGTACTCACTCTTTTCATAATGAATCATTTCTAAGGCTTAATCCTTCAACTGTGAAATTTATTACAGAAATTGTTCACTAGAGCAGGCAAGATACAAGAGATGATTATATCTAACTGACATTTTGCTTGGATTAAGGTTAAGATACCCATTATTTTGAACCTTATTCTCCTATACAAGACAAAATATGGTCTTCAAACCTACTCAACTGTTGAAAAAACCATGAGGATTGTGCAGTAGGAATTTCCATTTCATCTTCAAGAAAGATGATTAGGTGCTACAAAATAATCCAATCTCTTGCTATGTGGTTTGAGCACATAACCGGTGCTCAAAAATGTTTGTGGAAAGACTGGAATATTTTCCTGTAACAACGGGGTTCCATCACACTAAGCTTTAAATCAAATACTTGAGGAACTAAGAGAATAAATGTCCTTTTAACTTAAAATAATGTTTTCAATGGTTGGATTAATTTACTCAATCAATAATGTGCAAATCTTGAGTATTAATTCTCTTAGCTTGAGTATCTTTAATTCTCATTTAAGGAGAAAATATTTAGCATGATTTGTCCATTCATTACCATGTTAAAGTTACCAAAACAGAATACATGGTGACATTAAAAAGTATAAAGAAAGTGACAAGAGAGATATGATGAATTTATTCACCATAAAAGGGCAAAAGGAACAGGAGAAATAAAAATATAAAGGCTTCCCTTTGTCTAGTGGTGGTACAGCTTCTCAGGAATGAAGATGGTAGATTAATATTGATGACTTGTAAGGTTGATATAAAAAACCTGGCGACTAAGTAAGTCTCTCTGCAATTCTCTTTTATGGCAAAACAAACAAACAAACAAACAAAAAAACAACCAAAAGTGAGTTAACTGAAATCAAATAACTTATCAAAGTTGCCAGACAAATGTATACCTCTCTGAGTCTGGAAATACAAACGACTCATCTATTTCTTATTCTTTCAACTGTACTCTTTTTCCTGTATGTATTTACCATATTTGGCATTTTAATTTTTTTGTTTGCTACGACATCTCTCATATATATTATATATATTTATATATGTATATAATTTATATATATATATATATATATATATATATATATATAAAATATAGATATATATGCAGCCTCAACCTTCTGGCTCAAGCGATCCTCCCACCTCTGCCTCCCAGTAGCTGGTACTTCAGGGGCACACCACTGCACCTGGCTAATTCTTTTCGTATTTGAAGAGAGGAGGTTTCACCAGGTTGCCCAGGCTGGTTTGCTATAAATTTCATGCATCAAGGTACACATAGGAGAAACAATAACTAATTAGACATATTGCTAAGGGCCAAGTGAATGAAAGAAAACAAAAAGTACTATGCAGAAATTGGAACTTGGTGCAGCCTAGAAGAATAAATATGCATTGTGGAAGTGGAAACTGAAAGAGAAGACAAACATTTCATAGGCTACAATGCTCAGGGATAGGTACCGTGGTCAGGCTGTGAAGTGGAAGGATCTGACTAGTGTTTTGAATACAATGTGTCAGACTATGGGAAGTTGATTAGTGGCCTGAAGAGTATACACCCCAGAGGTTAGCAATATATTATGATGTGGGAACATATTTTGTTGAATGTTACTATGCTCTAGGTGCTTTTATGTTCTAAAGATTTCATAAGCATTACCTTATTGAAACTTCACAATAATCCTAGGAGGTAGAACTCATTTAACTCATATTTTATAGTCAATGAAACTGAAGCTCAGAAAATTTAATCAATTTGCCCAAAGTCAAATAGCTAGTAAGAAATACTGCTGACTTTAGAGCCTGCATTCTTTGTAAGCTTATTGACATGGTACCATGATAGGAATGGCAGGATCAAAGACCCATTCCCAGTGCATGGTATAGACATACCATCATCCAGGACCCCCACTTCAGACACCAAAATCCACGGATGCTCAAGCCCCTTAAACAAAACGTAGTATTTGCATATAACCTACACACATCCTTCCATGTATTTTACATTTTTTCTAGATTACTTATAATACCAAATACAATGTAAATGCTATGTAAAGAGTTGTTATATGGTATTTTAAAAACTTGTATTTTTTATTATTGTATTGCTATTTTTTATTGTTTTCTTGAGGAATATTTTTGATCCATGGTTGGAGGAATCCATGGATGTGAAATTCATGGATAGAGAGGGCTGGCTGTATTGGGGGTAGTGGAGTAAAGGAGATGGACAAATGGTTAAAACAATAGTCTGGACAAGCAATAAGAAGGGCAGTAGAGAAAGAAAGACAAGGGTGCAATACACGTCTTGAAGCCAGAATCATCAGAACTTGCTCTCTGCTACAGACTGAATATTTGTGTTTCTCCACAACTCATGTTGAAACCTCAAACCCAATGTGATGATTATTTGGAGGTGGGGCCTTTGGGAAGTGATTAGGTCATGAGGTCAGGGACCTAATGAATGAGATTATTGCTTTTGTAAAAGAGACCCCGGAGTACTCCAAAAACCTCCTTCCCATGTGAGGTTGTGGCAAGAAGACAGCTGTCAATGAACCAGAAAGGGAACCTTCTCGAGACACTGACTGCCGGAACCTTGACCTTGGACTTTCCAGCCTCCAGAAATAAATTTCTGTTGTTTGTAAGCTATGCAGTCTGTGGTATTCTGTTACAGCAGCCTGAAAGGACTAAGACAGAGTAACGGGTTATGGAGGGTGGTGGAGGAAACAAGAACCTGGAAATGGGGCCTGTATCTTAGCGGGAAGGCTGTAAAAGTTGGGTTTCTAGAAAAAGACTGCAGGAAAATTGAGTGGAAAGTGGAAGGCAACAGACTCATAAAATGGCAATTGCTGGTGTTGGGCACTGAGTGGGATCATGCCTACCATACCACATACATCTCTGCTGACTCCATAAGCAATTTCCTTTTGAAGATTCATGATCAGTCACACCAGAGTGGCAATCACGATTATCACTGCACTTATCAGTTTAGAACTTATGAAAATGAAATTTTCTTTTGATATTCTCCATTACTCTTTGAGCATTTAACTCAAACTTCCATTTCCTCTGAATTTGTTTGGTACTTTTCTGACGGTATGTTTCTAATTGTTTTAAAATGAGTGTGGTTAGTAGAACTTTTGCTTTAATGGAATATTTAGGCTATCACAAACTTTCTCTGTGAATCAGCTACACCAGTGGATTTCATGCTTTTTTGACACCATCCAGTGTAAAAAAAAATGATATAACAACCCAGTACACACATTCATATTCAACTACCTACCTATTTTACCAAAATCAAATGTTAATAAAACAACACTTATCTTCTGATATTCTCTATTCAATTCTATTCCATTTAAAAATGCTCACTGAAACTCACCAAATTGATATGCATAGTGACCCACAGATTAAAAACAGCAAGCTTAATTCAGAGCTCCATCCAAATAGGTAACCATCAGCTTGGGCCCTCTGGTATCTATCACAGAATCTAGCACATAGAGCTTTAGAAGTGTTGAAAATGAGAAAGAAGGAATGAACCACATTTTTTTTTGTAGATCATTTATTTTTCTTAATTTAAGAAACACTCAGTAAATGCATTACATGGCAATCTCACTAAGTTTATGCCATCTGAAAATTTAGTAAACTTGTTCCCAATCCCAAATGATAACCCCAGTTATAGCTTTAATGCAATCACCACTAAAAATTGGAGCTTAAATCTACAAATTGGGGTTCACATCTCCTGAAGGTCATATCATGACAAAGCAGAATATTACATCAATTTAGAATGTAACATTAATTGATATAGAATTTCAACAAGCTGCAAAAAACAGTTAATCTGGAGTCAAACAGATTTATGGCAACAGAGCCTCACCACTCCTACCTCTGTAATTGCTAGAACATAAACTAATGTTAAAAAACATGCCTCGGTCGGGCGCAGTGGCTCAGATCTGTAATCCCAGGACTTTGGGAGGCCAAGGTGGGTGGATCACGAGGTCAGGAGTTCAAGACCAGTTCAAGACCTGGCCAAAATGGTTAAACCCTGTCTCTACTAAAAATACAAAAATTAGCTAGGCGTGGTGATGGGCACCTGTAATCCCAGCTACTCAGGAGGCTGAGGCAGGGAATTGCTTGAACCAGGGAGGCAGAGGTTGCAGTGAGCCAAGATCAGGCCACTGCACTCCAGCTTGGGTGACAGAGTGAGACTCCGTCTCAAAAAACAAACAGACAAACAAACAAACACATGCCTCATGATTACAGAAACACTTTTTTCATAGGTGCTGTACTCCAGCCAGCAAATCTCTGTGATATGACCTCACGAACCTCCTGGAAATGACCTGTGTGTACAACACCCATGACTAATATGTTATGGTACGTGTCCCTCCTTCCAAATGGCAGATCTTCCTCACTGTTATATCCAATGCCAGTTTAATGTAGTCCAATTAATTAAGCAATAGTGTACTAAGTGCTAAAGTGGGCACTGAGGATACGACATGAGTAAACATAGACTCTGTCCTCAAGAAGCGTATTATGAAGTCAGAAAGGCAGATGTCTAAACAAATGATAATTCCAGAGTGGGAAAGACAGACAATGAGAGGATTAGACAAATGGGGGAAGAGGGCTTGACCAAGACAGACAAAGACTTTGCCCGATGAGTGGTGTCATTTCTCTCATGAGAAAGAATCTAGCACGTACAGCAACACGCCAAATAAATGATTGGTAATAGAAGACAAAATAACCCCGAAGTGCTATTTAACTGTGTTGTTGTCGAGGTGAAGTATGTTTGTGTTTAACTGTGCTTGTTGAAATGAAACATGTTTATTTTTGCCTGTTGTTGCTATCCTTACTAAGGTGTGGGATAACAGCAAGGAAGCTGAAATGTTTATTTGGAAGTTCTCAAAGTATAGTTCCTGGGCTTTTTAGGGTTCCAGGGTCTCTTTCCAGGGGGTTCGTGACGTCAAAATTTCTCTTATAATTGTACTAAAAGATACTTGCCTTTTTGACTATGTTGATATTTGCACGGACTGGACAAAAGGGTAATTATTTGATAGTAATCATGTTGATTTTCACAGTGTCCCTGAAGGCATGTCCAAAAGAAAACTTGCAGGAAGGCAACACAGGGCAATGGGGAAAACACTGTTATTTAGAAGACACAGACTTGATTTTTTTGGAGCCTCAGTATCTTCATCTGGGAAATGAGAAGTTTGGCCTGGATTGTGGATCCCAAACTTAGTTGTGCAGCAGAATGATCTGGAAGGCTTTAAAAAAATTACAGGTCTCAGGAACTTGTAGGATGAGGCAGAGATTGGGCCTTCTGGGATGATGCTGTGGGTGGGGAAGGGTAGAAAGGACTACATTTGTCAGCAATTGTCTCCCAACCCCTTGTCTTTCCAGTGTTGCCTGCCTTCCTGATAAACTTTCAGAGCTAATCAGATTGGCACTGAGGTAGAGGAGTGACGACAGGTAGCTGCTGTCCTACTCCGGAAAAGACCCATTACTGACAGGTAAATGAGGAGGCTTGGATGGCTGGTGTTTGTCACCAAATATGAACACTGAGGCAGGATGGGTTTAGGAGCTGTGGATGTGCCCAGAAGAGCTTCAGCCTCTTTGGCAAGCACTGTGTTCTGGTAGCTTCTATATTTTCCAATAATGGACTAAGTAACTCTGTGTGTGTGTGTGTGTGTGTGTCCACGCGCATGTGCACAGTGTATGGTATGTGAGCCCACACATAGGGGATGGGTGGGAAGCAATTACCCTAAGAGTAAAGCAATGACTTTGTTTGCAAAGAAGGCTCAATTGCAAGACAGGTTTGGCCCTGTGATTTGGGTAATAGAACAAAAGCTGCGTATCTAATTTGAAATTTTTACCGATAATGTCTATATTTTGCTAGTCAAGATATTCTAATCAATGTTAAAATAATAGTACCCTGTCGAGAGCCAGCAGCCACTCAATGCTGGATTGAGTTAGCACATTCCTTGACCTTAGGTTATGTGGGTATCTTGGAATCAGTAGAAAAAGAGAATCAAAACATACATAAAAGACAAAAGGATAGCTTTCCTCTTCTTTCTTCAGAACAGATTCCCTGACAGTCGGGTAAGATCTGCTCTGGCAGTTTGGTGCCCTGGCTAACAAGATAATAATTGCATACACTCTTGGAGGAGCAGAATGCAGCTCTCCTTCCTCCTTTCACCCATTTCCTACCAGCCCTGCAAAGAGCTGCCCAAGAAATGGTTGTGTAACCTTTGACTCGGTTGTTATTTTTTCCCTCCTTTAATGAAGTAGACCTTTGTTTGCCTCCTTGTCCACATCACCAGCAATGACGAACTACAATGCCGTCACGGTAATGCAATCTGGGATACCGATCAGATGGGTTAATATTTGCCAACACATTTCACAAAGAAAAAACTCCAATCTGCCTAACTCACCTTAATGGGGGTCAGTTTTATGTGGAGCTCCCAGTTCCATAATGAATAATGCCTACAATTAACCTAGGCCAGGCCGATTTAATTTCAAGGAAAAGTTCTGCGAGTTTTACCTGCCTCAAGAGAACTGAATTCCAGGAAATTCTTGCTATAATTAGTAGAATAAGGATAAACAGTAGTACTTTTCTCTGAGCCCAGAGCCCATCTTGTCCCTTGCCACACAGCAAATAATATAGGGTATTTTTTTATGATAACAATGAATTTTGAATAGACCAACCATTCTTTAACAGATATTTATTTAGTATCTACTATGCACCAGATATCATGTACAATTTTATTTTATATAATTTTTACTTCTCTTCTTATTTATTTTACAACTTGTCTATGCATTGCTCTTTAGGTGTCTTTAAAATATTTATTTTAGTAAGATTATTATAGTTCTTGTTGATGATATTCTAATTCATCTTTTAATGGAATCTTTCTTAATTACAGACTCCTTTCATTAGTTGATACTGCACTAGTCACTTCAATTATCACCTAGATTTTGAATTTTGCTTTTGCTTATCATTTATATGTGCAGAGAGACTAGTTGAAAAAGACACCATCAGCAATTTCTTTTGAAAAACTAGCTATCTCTCTAGTGTTCCTCTACAGAAAATACAGGTAATCTGTTACACATGAGACATATAGCCTCCCCTCACCTGAAATCCTTGAAAGGTAAAAGAAGAAGATAATGTGAGTGCACTGCAAACCATTAAGAAATGAAGGAAGAAGCTAGAGACTATTATTCTTGTCAGGCCTATTAGCACAGTACAGTGTTTCCCAGTCACTTTCCTATTACCCCATGATGGTAGTTCAAAGTTGATGGCATCGTTTCTCCTACTCTCATCTGTGGAGGGGACAATGTTGGCTGGGTGGTGCTTCACCTACTGAGAATCTAGCAGCATGAGATGAGCTCCTGCAGCTCAAGTTGGAACTCATAATTAATATTCCTATATGGGGGTGGGAGGAGGACATGTCCAATGAAATGAAAGCTCATAAAGATATGTGTCAAATATGCTGGTTTAGGCGGACCTATGTATAACAATTTACATTAAAAAAGATAATTTTAATGTCTTTTTTTTTCCTTTCAACTATTTATTCTGATACACGAGCTTCTCACACACATCTTGGGAGGAGTCTTCAGTCCAAACAAAGAATTTTTCTCCTAGAACCATTAAAGTTGGACGGTGCTGTGGCCTCAGAACAATCTATTTTCTATTGTAGTGGCTTTTGGGGTCATGGCTGGCTTCTCAAAATAGTTTAGAAAGTTTAGATCCAGGCCCAAATGGTAACCATAGTGGCCAGTATTCCCTTCATTTGTGGGCTAAATTCGCGAGAAAACTGACAGAATTTGTCCAGGTGCGAGGCATGAGTGATGTGCAGGAGTGGAATGTCCGTCCCCAAGGAGGGGTCTGCAGTCCACAGACTGGGCATGACAGGGAAGGGACCAGGACCCCCAAGGAAAGCAGGACTGAATGTTTCCTGTTCACTATCCCTGGCTGCTGACCCTCGTTCCGCCCACCAGGTCTACAGCTTGGCTTTGCCCCTTTTGTCACAGGACCTTATATGGTCAGTGGACAATGCTGACCTTCAGGCTACTTGTCTGCAACAAGGAGACTGCCATGTCTTCCCCGTCTGCCAACTGCTGAGTCACCTGATGTGGACATCTTAGTAATTCCAAACTCCTTTTTCATCCTCTGCCTTTGGGTGTCTGAGCCTTCTGGGCCCACTGTCTTGTCACCAGTTGCCCATTGTTTGACTCAGAAAGCTCAGCCTTCGTCACTGGAGTCCATCTAGTTTCACGCTGTGGTCACTGATGACCTTGATGTGGAGGGATCCAAAGGACTTTCTGCCCTCATCTTAGTTGACCTCTTAGCAACATGTGCAGGTTTCTTCCTTGAAATATGCGGTTCTATTGGCAGCCATGATCCACACAGCCTGTTCGTTTTCTTCCGTCTTTCTGCCTGGTTCATCTTGGGTAGTTCCTGCTCCTCAGCTCAGATCTATACCTTGTTGTTTTTCACCACCCCGTATTTTCCTTGGGTGATCTCTCCCAATCCCACAGCTTTATAAATCCATGTATCAGTTAGCTATTGCTGCAATATTGCTGTGTAACAGACTACCCTGAAACTCAGTGTCAGACAGAAGTTGGCATTTTCTGAGTGAGGAAAGTGAGGCTCAGTGAGAAAAATGAACCTCTCGGGGACATGAGTGACATGAGTTCCAAATCAGATTTCCAGTTCACTGTATTTTCTACTGTGTTCTGAACTTAAAGAAAGGATCGATCATTATGTCTCATTTCTATGAACAGCTAATGAGCTACCATATTTCAAAAAATTTTCAAAAATCTCTCCCTTATTTTCGTTCTCCAAAATTCTGTAAAAACATGCCATTAGTGTCTCTCATTAACTTCCTTTATCTGATTCTTAAATGAGAGCTTTCGTTCATTTGCCACAGCGATAATGACATATTTAAATTCTCCTTCTTTTTCCAAATTGTCAAAAATAATCAGTTTCTATAAAATTATTAATTATGTCTATATTTCCAAGTTCAGTACAATAAAATGTTACTAATTTGGAATAAAGGAGGCATCCATTATTCCATTGGCGGCACACAGAAGCAAATGATCCTGGCTAGCATACAGACAAGAAGAATTTATTAGAATAACAATAACCAGCACCTATAGCACTTACTTTGATTAGCCACCTTTCTAAGCACTGGACTCATTAATGTCTAGATTAATGCCTATATAGTAGGTACTGCTATTAGCCCCACTTTACAGATGAGGAAGCCAAGGCACATAGAAGTTAAGTAACTTGCTCCAGGTTGTGCAGTTAGGGTATGTCTAAATATGGATTTGAACCCAAGCTGTGCAGCTCCAGAGTCTTAGGCACTACAGCCTGTCCAAGGATCTGGGGTAGTCACAGAATTGAGGGGAAACCTATGGAAGCAGGTTCAAAGAGGGTACAAACCAAGTCATGGTAGAGGCCTGTCACTGGAAGAAACTCTGATCACCCTCATCTCCCAAACCCTTGGTTCCATTTAAAGCCTCCAGATACAAAGTCCTGGGAGAGAGGCCCAGTTGGGCCTTGACGAGGAGAAGGCAGGGCAGCTTGACTGGCAGTTTCACCAAGGCTGAGCACAGAGGGAAGAACCGATTCCCCTGGACAAGACAGGAGTGTTGTAAAAAGAAAACAGTGAATTTGGGGAGGTTGGACAGCAAAACACTGCCCATTACATGAAGCATGAAGAAAAGGAGTTTTTTATTTCATATTAACAAATAGCTCATAATAGCAGTTGTGTGAGAAATTGCTCAACTGCCTTTAAAACATGTCCTCAGTAGACTCCTTTATTTGGAAGAGATGTCCCAACTTTTTCCTGTCTCACCACCCGCGCCCTGCCACCATGGCCATACCCTAACTGCTCTATAGAGCCCATGTGTTCCCACTTCATTTGGATGACAGCGTGCTCAAGCCTCTATCATCAGGGAAAAGTCTTTCCTGGCCCATGTAGCTACTGACTTACATATAGCTCTGCTTTCCTTACAACTCAACTTCTTAAAAAGACAGTCTACAATCCCCACACTCCCCACTTCTTGCACAGTCACTCCCAAATCTACTATCATGTTGTTTCTTTGTCATTTCTGCTATTCCGCTGAAACTGCCCTTGCTCAAGCCACAAATCACTGGACTTGGCCAAAACAAATGAACACGTTTCTCTCCTTATCTTTGTTGCCTTCTCTGCAGCACTCCATATTCTGACACTGTCCTCTGGAAGCTCTTATCTGCGCTAGGCTCTTACTTGGTTTTCCTCTTTTCTCTACAGAAGTTTCCTCCTTAATGCCATTCTTCAGTTCTTTTTTCTCAGTTCATTTCCTAAATGTTGGCATTTTCCAGACCTCCTGTTCTTCTCACTCTATACACTCAACCTGGAGGACCTAATTACTTATATGTTCATAAATCTGAAAATTCATCTCCAGCCAGAGCTCCCTTATTCATCTCCAAAATAGCAACTCTCCATTTAGAAGTCCTATTGATATCGTAAATTAAATATGTCCAAAACTCATCCGTTTTCACTTCTAAGCTTGTTCTTCCTTCTTAATTATCTCAGTGAATGCCATCTTCATCTTCTCATCCATGCCAGAAACTTCAAAGTCATTCTCGCCTCTCTCTCCTCATTGCTGACATCCAACTAAACATCCAACTAAACTTGGTGTTTATGGATCCTTCCTTTGTAATATCTCCTATGTCTACCCACCTCCTCTCTAGTCTTCCTACTGATATAATGTAGGCTCTATCATTTCTTACCAGAAATAAGCCTTCTTAACTGATCTCTCTGCCTCCGATCTGTACCTTCTTCAATTCTCTAAATTGCTGCCGGAGAAATTTTTCTAAAATGCAAATATGATCATGCAAGTCCCAGAATTAAAATCCTTTTATGGTACCCACATATTTCAAGATGAAGTTCAAATTCTTGAGTTTGGCATACAAGTAAGATGAGGCTTCTGTTGCCTCTTAAGCTTCATGTCTCTTGTTAGGTCCTCCAGAGCCTTTCAATACAACCATAAGGAAGGATCAATGGTTGCTCAAATATGTCATGGCCTCTCTGCCTTCTTCCAAGCTGCTTCCTGTTTCCTGAATGCTCTCTACTGTGTTGGACACTGTCCCCTAAAATTCAGGTCCACCTAGAACCGGTGAATGTAATTTTATTTGAAAATAGGTTTTTGCAGATATAATCAAGTTAGGACAAAGTCATACAGGGTTAGGGTGGGCCCTAAATCCAATATGATGGGTGTCCTTATAAGAAAGAAATTAGGACATAGACACAGACACACAAGCAAGAAGGGAAGAAAGTCCTGTGGAAACTGAAACAGAGATAGGAGTGATGCATCTATTAACCAAAAAATGCCAAGGATTGCTGGCAACCACCAGAAGTTAGAAAAGGGGCATTGTATTAGGCTATTCCTGCATTGCTATAAAGGAATAGCTGAGACTGGGTAATTTATAAAGAAAAGAGGTTGAGTTGGCTCACAGTTCTTCAGGCTTTATGGGAAGCGTGGTGCTGGCATCCGCTATGTTTCTGGAGAGGCCTCAGGAAACTTACAGTCATGTTGGAAGGTGAAGGGGGGGGATAAGCACATCACATAGCCAGAGTAGGAGCAAGACAGAGAGCAAGGTCCCACATAGTTTCATGTTTTTTTTTTTTTAGATAGAGTCTCGCTCTTGTCACCCAGGCTGGAGTGCAATAGCGTGAACTCAGCTCACTGCAACCTCCACTTCCTGGGTTTAAGCAATTCCCCTGCCTCAGCCTTCCAAGTAGCTGGGATTACAGGCACCCGCCACCACACCTGGCTAATTTTTGTATTTTTAGTAGAGACGGGGTTTCGCCATGTTGGCCAGGCTGGTCTCGAACTCGTGACCTCGTGATCTGCCCACCTCGGCTCCCCAAAGTGCTGGGATTACAGGTGTGAGCCACCGCACCCAGCTGCCACATAGTTTTAAACAGATCTCACTTCTCACAGAGAAGTCACTCACTGTCGTGAAGACAGCACTAAGAGGATGGTACTAAACCATGCATGAGAAATCTGCCCCATGATCCAATCACCTCCCACCAGACCCCACCTCCAACACTGGGGATTACATTTCAACATGAGATTTAGGCGGGGACACAGATCCAATCTATATCAGACATGGAACAACTTATCCCTTAGAGCCACTGGAAGGAACTAACCCTGCTGACACCTTGTTCTCAGATGATTAGCCCACAGAACAAGGACAGAACACATTTCTGTTGTTTTAAGCCACCCAGTTTGTGGTATTTTGTTATGGCCACTCTAGGAAACTAAAATACCCTCTCTACTCTTTCTTGCATTGCTAATAATCTCAACACAACTCAGCATTTTCTTCTATGGGAAGCCTTCCTTGCACTTTCCCATCCCTAAACCATTCCCCCTTAATTACAAGTCTTTCCTCTGTTGTCTCATTGCATTCTAAAGTCTTTATTATAATGCATTGCTATGCAGTCATCTTTTTTTTTTTTTTTTGGTCTCTTTAGTAAGAGTACTGTAGAGAGTGAGTGGGTGCCTGGTAGTCTCAGTATCCTGCATGGTGCTGGCAAGAAGAAAAAGAAGTACAGTTATTGTTTGGTGAATGCTAACATGCCTCTAAAGAAATGTGATTTTTATTTCGTGTATAATGCATTGCCAACAAAATTACTGTAACATAAAAGAATAGCCATTTCTATTACTGAAGTTAACTATATTCACTAGCAATGATGAGAATTATGTCCATCCTATCTCAAATCATGAATTATTTGCTTTGAATTTATTTTACTGTTTTGAATAGTAGTTTATAACAAAAATCAATGTCATATGAGTATCTAAATAATAGAAATATCCTTTGTAAACAATAAGATACTGGGAGTCAGGAATGTTTCCAACATGCCTTGTTACCTTGACCCTCAAGGGGTTGTAATCTCTCACCTGCTTCAGTGGTGTGCATCTATTATTGGGATAAACTCACAGATTTATAAGCCTCATTAGGAAAGGAAGGATCCAAAGTGTGTAGAACAAGCTTGTCCTTATGCAGTCCAGGACAGCTTTGAACATAGCCCAACACAAATCTGTAAACTTTCTTAAAACATATGTGATTTTTTTGCAATTTTTTTTTTTTTTTTTTTTTAGCTGATCAGCTATTGTTAGTGTGTTTTATGTGTTGCCCAAGACAATTATTCCAGCGTGACCCAGGGAAGCCAAAAGACTGGACAACCCTGGTGTAGAATATTAATCTGACAAATCACTTGTCAGAAGTATGGGATTTTTACCCACTAAAAACTACCTCTTCGTGGCCCGAGGTGGCTCAGAGAGCTATCCCCACTTTGCTGTCATGGGAACTATGAATCACAGTCTCAGAGTCTACATCGAAGACCTCACAAATCTGTGGAAATCTGCCTAATAAAGATATAATAACTTGGACTTTTAAGAATTCACTAATTTGATGACTTGCCACACATGCGATTATGTTACCCTCAGATGGTAATGGAGGAATGTTTTTCTGAAAGTGATAAGAACACTATGCACATACGTTCAGGCCTAAAAAGACCGATTGTTATTAATATTAACAAAGATAGCCAAGGCCTTTAGTGTTTTGTTTGTAAAATCCCTTGCTTCATTGAGGGCTATGAGAGGAAGTAAAGACAGGCCTTCAGAGTAATTATTTTTCTTATTCACTCAATTCATGCAGCTGAACAATAGGCCTATGTAGCACAAACATTAAACATTACTTTTTAGGCTATCCCAAATTGTTTAACATACACAATGTGCCAGGCCTGTGGTGGGTTCTAGAGAGCCACAAAGGCTCAATTCCTGCCTTCAGAAGCTCACATCCACTGGGCAGAAAGGTGATTTCATTGCTACAGATTTCAATGGTAACACAAGAAAAGAATGACTCATTCCAACTTTTGCAATCAGGGAAAGCTTCCGGGGAACCAGTGGAGATCTGCTGCAAAACAGGGAAGGAAAAAAATACCAGGAACATAGTAAGTAATCACACAGATCATGGTACACACAAGGTGGGTGGAATCTGCCAGTCCTCACCTTCAGGAAGTTCATATCTAGTGGGGGAGGCAGAAACATAAAGGGAGACTGGACTACGGTATAATGGTGAGCCCTTTGGTAGAGCTCGGCATAGGGTGTTATGAGTGCACAATGCTGGCATATCTAAGAGAAGGCCCACCCAAGGCCTCTGAGTGTAAGCAACAGCAATGCTGCCTTGAAAACTAAGCAGGACTTCACCAGTGGGGAGGAAAGGGCATTTCAGGTGCATATGGACAAGCATGAATAGATATACAGGCAGCCTACTGGGGAAGTGGTTGAGGGTGGGGTGGGGCTGGAACAATATTTAGTTGGCATGGCTGCAGCTCCGGATGCAAGATATAGGGCTAAAGGGTGTGACAAAGTAAAACTGCGGGGGGCTTTGTAAGTGAAACTGTGAGAAGTAGGGCACTGGCAGCAGGAACTGAGGGAAGGATGGACCTAGAAATACTGAAGAGGTCAAATCAGCTGTGCCCTCTGATTGAATGCGAAGGATGAAAGAATGGAAGGATCCAAGGTTTTAAGACAAGGCAGAAAAGCAACTGTGTTGAGGTAAACGCTATGACAGATGGTATCACAGGGTACCCACCACAAGCTGGTGAGGTAAGGGCCTCAGCAGGATTCTGGAAAGGTGTGCTGGGCAGAATGCCCTGAAGGATGGGGAGTCAGCCAGGTGAAGGAATGGGTGGGTGGAAGAGGCCACTAAAGCAAATGAACGGCATGAACAGAGACAGGAGGCTGAAGACCACATGCTGGAGGACTGCCAGCCATTCAGAATTACTGTCCCTTACCTTCTGGAAACATTTCACTGTGTGAGAGGCACAGTGGTTAACAATGCCTCTAGGATCAGATTATTCAGGTTCACATCTGGTTGGCCACTTACAAGCTGTGTGGCCTCAGGCAAATTAGTTGACTCCCCAGTGCCTAAGGTTTGTAACACTTGCCACCCAGGAATGAAAATAACACCTTCCTCTAGGATTGTTGTGCATTCTTAGAAGAGAGTTTTGCACACAGGTTAGCTAGTAGTAACAGCAATAATATTAGTGATTATGGTAGTAGAATTACTTGGGCTTTCTTACTAACAGGAACTCACCACCAGGTCTACCTTCCAAGTCCACTGCTCCTTCCCTAGCTCCCTTTTCTCACCCTGAAATCGCCTTTGCAAAAATTATATCAGTGAGAATATTATGGCAGTGGGGGAGATCTGATCTAGCCAACCCAACTCCCCATTCCTTGCCTTTAGCTTTCAAGCTGCCTTAATTATTCTTGGACTTAGGCCTAGGCCTAGCTAACTTTGGAAGACATTTAGATTATAGTTTAAATGAGAATGAGACCATCAGGCTAGGGGAAGGAGAGGAGCCTGAATTCTGCTAATAGGCTGGTCACAAGATATGCAACTTCCCCAATTACTACTGCAATAACATCACCAATGTAGACTGGCCTTTTGAGATATCTTTTCAGGCCTTTTGCATGTCTGACACTGCTGGCTCCACTTGGTCCTGCCAAACTGCTCCTGTGGCCCCACAGAGGAGTGACTCAGCTCAAGGGGACAGACAGCTTTGACTCCCTATGATTTCATCTCCACCCCAACCAATCAGCAGCAAGCACCTAGCCACTCTCACCCCTTCCCCCAAACTGCCTTTGAAAAATCCCTACCCTACACAGGGCGGGGTCGGTTGGGGGGTCAGGGGGCGGGGGAGGGACAACATTAGGAGAAATACCTAATGTAAATGATGGGTGCAGCAAACCAACATGGCACATGTATACCTAGGTAACAAACCTGCATGTTGTGCACATGTACCCTAGAACTTAAAGTATAATAATTAAAAAAAAAGAAAAATCCCTAAACATATGAGCCTTTATGAGATTGATTTGAGTAATAACTTTGTCTACCATGTGGCATGGCCAGCCTCGCATCAATTAAACTTTTTCTTTACTGCAATGCCATGGTCTTTATTTGTGCAGTGGGCAGGAAGAACCCCCAGGTGGTTACAACCCCATCTACTCCACAATCATAGAATAACCAAAAGATCATGCTTTATAACATGACATTTTAATTCTGAAAATGTGTTGGACACCTCAGGCTGCATCACAAATATCTCAACTTCCTGTTCTGTCACCCAATTCACTTCTTTTTACTTTTCCCAAATTTTACTATCTCCTTTCTCCATAATTACTCCTCAAATATTCTTCTGTAAACAAACTGAAACTGACAGAGATGGGGAAAAGGCATGCAAAGTAAATCAGTGTATCCAAGAAGAACTGGCTTATGAACTGGTGTTTGGGAGGGAATTACTATGGATAAGTAGCTTGTTAGAATGCTCATTCTTTTGCCTAAATCTCTAACTCTGCTACTCCAACTGCTTAATTTATCCTCAGGGGAAAGAGAAGCCGTATACTAGTTCTTCATTTGGATTAATCATTTTCTAGCTTGACTTCCTCAGTTGCAAAGACTGTCAGCTCTCTCACTTTTTCTTTTGCAGAACATATCCTTTTCTTTAACTTTTAGACATTTTCCTTCTTGCAGAGGTTGCTCAATTACATGTGTACGTGTATGTGTGTGTGTATATATATATATATATATATATGTAAACTAAGATGACATTAATTTGTTAATAAAAATTAAGAAAAATAATGCTTGAGGAGTTGTGATATTCTCTGACTGTTTTAACAATGGTAGTGAAAGGAGGCAAAAGTTAGGAGGAGCACCAACTTGCAAAACATGAGAAAGTTTCAACTAAACTCTGGTTTTTGCTGATGGTCTTATTAAAGTTGTACAGATGGTATCAGGTGGATGGTGTTCATTACAACTATGGTATAATGATGGTCTGCAAAATCTTTTGCTTGTTCTTTGTCTGGGACCTGCTTGGGAAAAGCTTTGGTATTTCCCTTTCAGCCAAGTTTGTCTTTCGCTGGTGCTTTCCTACACTGTGTCTTTATCACAGCTGGTATTTCTTTTTGTCAGAGAATCTACCTCATCATATTCAGAAAGCTTACTTTTAAAAGTTTTATAGTTCTCTTGCCTTTTTTCTTTGTGTTTTTTAGAATGTGACTCCCAATTCAATTTTTTTTGTTTCTTACGTACATATCCTTTTATACATTAATTTTGTCTTTTTCCTTTGAGAAAACAAGACTCTCAAAAAAGAAAAGTCACCAATTACTGATAGGGAAGATATTTTCTTTCTCCCATTACATTGAAGACACCAAGACACTTAAAACAACACACAAAAAGAAATAACTATTAATCTTACAAGGATTTAGAAGGTAGTACTCCCAAAGTACTTAGAAAGCAAATTATTTTTGAATTCTACTACTCCAGCTGGACCCAGTGGTATGTGCCTGTATTCCCAGGTACTTGGGAGGATGTGGCAGGAGGATCACTTGAGCCCAGGAGTTTGAGGCTATAGTGAGCTATGATCATGCCTGTGAATAGCCACTGCACTTCACTCTGGGTAACATAAGAAGACCCTGTCTCTAAAAACAAAACAACTACTCTGGCCTCAGAATCTTGAGGAATTCAGTAGTGAACTCAATGGAAAACAAATGAATTCAAGAACTATTTATTGAGGCTTCTTATGTATAAGGCATTGTGCTAAATTCTGTGGGGGCTATACAAACATATATACAAGACATACAAAACTGGCCTCCAAAACTAAATATTTCAGGGAAGATACACCATGAAAAATAACTCTTGTACTAGACATGTAGAGAAAAATGCCATGAGAGAGCAAGAAAGCAAATGATTAATTAACATTAGGATAAATTTAAAAGGTGTTTTGGAGGTATTTGGCAGAGATTTTAAAAAATGCATATAATTTTATTTCCTTAAGCTACTGAAATTTTGGGGTTGTATATGTTACAACCTGTGGTTAATACAATGAAACTGACCAAATTGAACTGTGTCCTATTTCCTAGCACAGGATAAATATTCGAGTTGGGTTTTAAAAGCTGAGCCTTTGGGCAGAGGGAAGAGGCTAAGGAAAGATTTAAAGGCAGGGAGGTACAGACTTACTGTGGTCCCTGTGGTACACTGTTACCTGGAACTTGAAAGTATATGCAGGAAGAGCTGGGATGGGGAGATAATGGGCTGGGGCTTGGGATACTCATTGGGAAATTCAGTTCTAGACACAAGCCTATTATGAATAGACTTCAATGCCAGGTTAAGAAAATGGATTTAATTCCAGAAACTATTTCAAAGTTCTAACCCTGAAATGAGTAAAACATGAATGACTCCACTAAATAAAATGTGGAATGAAAGAGAAGAGAGAAATGTTGGGAGTGTTTAGAAGTGTTATTGAATATTAGGAAAATCATAATAAATCCTAAAGTTAAGAAAGACTGATAGGCTGATGCCATGATAATCTTGATTTTTACTGACCCCTGCAAATATGGAAGAAAATTTGCACTAGTTTCAGTGTCAGGCCAGCAAACTTGTATCACATAATGACCAAAAAAATTCTTTTCATCAATTTTCTTGGGAGCGCTCATGATTTTTGACTGATCATTTGAACACATGGAATAATGTACTGTCTAATTTCGGTGCCTCGAGGGCCCGTGCAGATCACAGAATCTTGCTCCTGGCATTGGATAGTTTTTCCCAGAGCAGTGGCAGATGTCCCTGAGCCGTGTCTGTTTTCTCTCTGTGACTTCTTAACTGCATGCATTTTTAAGGTGGCCGATTTGAGAAAAGACATGTGATCCCAAAGAAAGGTTTTTTGTTTTTTTCTTTGCAGAGCCAACTAGCTCTTGCTTGGCTTTCTAGATCAAGAATAAAATATAATCAGTATGACACAAATAGATTTGATGGTTGTTCTATGCTGTCTTGGTCACTCATTTATAAGAAATTGTTGAAAGGGTATATATTAAACCAATATTCTCTTCAACTTTTTCCTTTTCACAAATGATTTTCTGGGTCAACTAAGTTTGCATAAATGCAAACTTCTGGAGTGAAATTCAGGTTTAATATATTCTACATGAGGGCAGCAGGCAGCTGATGAGCAAGTTGTTCTTATTCTGTGTACCTTGATAGGATTCAACTTTGGCCCAGATGAGGGGAATTTGTTTTTCCATGCAGGGCACTCTCATGAGAGTTTCAGAAAAACAATATGCTCTTGTCAGAACAGTATGCAGTTCTTCTAAAACTGGGGCTGAACTACATTTTACCCTTTAAAGGTCAGGAGATATTATTATGCAGCAAATTTAGCCTATGATTTATCTTAAAAAGGAACCATCACATATAACCCTCACAAGATCTGGGTAACGTTAAAAATGAGAATAAATTTCAATAACAGTACGAATAATAGCTCCTCCTGTGTATAAGAGATGGCACTCAGCACTGTCGCTTATTTACTCTCCACAACAAGCCCACAGGCAGGCATTAGTTTTTCAGTTTTAAGATCAAGAAACAGAATTTTATTCTTCATCTACCTTGCACTCACGGCATCGTTTTCACCACTGGTTACCTCTCTGACATTTTCCTATGTCGACTTTTCTTTCCACTTTCAGATCATCCCTTTGTAGCCTTAGATCAAACTAATTCGTTCTTTGACCCGAAATGTTGGTTTTACTGAAAATTCTCTCCTTCAGGCCTCTTCTTTCCTGTCCTTGATAATCTCGTATGATCTTAGGGTATCTAATGGTACTGACCTTAATTGCTTTCAAGCCAGGCATCTCCCTTTCCTCATGTGCCTGGTCGTCTTCTATTACATAATAAGTGCGGGCCAGATATCTGACCTGCATATTCTGCCAGGGTCCCAAATAATATCCACCACTAGATTCAACATAATTCTGCCAAAACAAACTTTCCCTCTTGACATCACTAATTCTGTTAATGGCACCAATGTTCTCCAAGTCAAAACCTGAAGTCATTTTGACAGCTTTTGTCCCTTACCTCCTAGAGTCATAGAGTCACCAACTCCTGTGGCATCTCTCCAGAAACATTTGCAACTATCTTTCCAAGAGCCGAGACTCAAATGACAATAACTGTTACACTCATATAGCTCTTTAAAATAAAGCAAGCTCCCACAGATACTATTTCTTATAATTTCCATACTAACCTCACAGATACAAAAACTGAGGTTTCAGAAACGTATGAGTTTTGTTACACAGTGTAGAAGCAAAGTGGGGACTTGATCCCAGGTCTTCTGATTCCTGTTTTCCAGGTGTAATAGTCCAACAACTGCCTGTACCTTCATGCATGAGGCACAGCTGCCTCAGACACAGTTTTTCCACTCCTCCAATGCAGCTTATGTAATCACTAATAGTGACTGTCTAATAATCATTGTTAAATGACATCTTTTTTAAAACACAGATCTGATCACATCACTCTGAGCTCAAAAGTCTGTCAGTAACTTCTTAGACTGAAAAATGTTCAAATCACTTAACCTGGCACTCTCCAGTTTGTTTCCAACACCATTTTGAAACATTGCTTCCCATATCCTCCCATACTACAGCCAAGCTGAACTATTCTCAGTGTTTTTGTTTTGTTTTGTTTTTGAGACAGGGACTCACTCTGTCACCCAGGCTGGAGGGCAGTGGTGCACATTAGACTCCAGCCTGGGCGACAGAGTGAGAGACCTGGACTACAGGTGCGTGTCACCATGCCCGGCTAATTTCTGTATTTTTTGTAGAGACAGAGTTTTGCCATGTTGCAGGCTGGCCTCAAACTCCTGAGGCTCAACCCATCCTCTTGCGTAGGCCTCCCAAAGTGCTGGGATTACAGGAGTGAGCCACTGCACCTGGCCCTACTCTTAGTGTTTCAAATATGCTTGAAGCATTTGCCTGCATTCCTCTGCTCAGGCCATGTCCCCTGGACTGTCTTCTCTGCCTTTGAAAATGCTGACTGTTCTTTCTTTTATTCATTAATTAACACCAAAGCATTGATGGAGCAATAGTGTATCAGGGACTGGGCTAGGTATGGAAAAAAGTGGGTGAATAAGGCAGGAAGGATCCATTTCTCAAAGGGCTTAGGATTCGCTGGAAGCATTAAGTTTCAGGACAAATGCCATACTCTCCACAAAATAACCCGTTCCTGATACCCTCAGCAGGAAGTGAGGACTTTCTCTTCTCAACAGCCATAGTACAGTGAGGAAACGTCGATTATAGGATTTACCATAATCTGATTTAATTACAGTTATTGAGGCATATGTCTTATCTCTCATGCTATAAGCTCCATTTTTGATAGGGACTCTAAGAAGCTCCCTATTTAGTCCTCACAGCATGTAGTGCAGGATTTCTCATTTAATAAGACCTCAATAAACAATATTGGAATAAATAATTTCTCTCAGCTTCTGTGAGTATGAGGTTGGGGAGAGACTGCCGCATGCCCCATTCACACACAAACAGCAGAGGACACAGTGAGCACTCACTACTCCCACACACGCTCACCAGATGGTGAACATAACATTATTTTAGGCAACAGAACTGTCAGCTGACATCCAGGGTCCCATGATACTTGCCTCCATCCATTTAAAGAGACGTTTGAGACAGAAACCAACCCAAGATTTCTGGATATCAGAGTGCAAATCTGTTCAGAGAGCACATTTTTCTGTGTCAATAAACAGAGAGCAGGATTAACATCTCCTCCATAGCCTGCTTTTCTGACCTCAGAACTAGGAGGACGCTATATTCCTGACCATGATTTGGGACTGAATTTTTTCTTTAAGAATTAACACAAGTCACATACAGTTATATTTACTTTTTTTTGGTGTACAGGTCTGAGTTTCGATAAATGCTTCTGTGTAACCACCACCACAATCAAGACAGAATAATTTCCACTGCTCCCCACCAAGAAATTTCCCTTCATGACACTTTGTAGTCAAACTCTCCTCACCTTTAATGCAGACCTCTTTCTCCACCTGCATAGTTTTGTGTTCTCCAGAATGTCACATAAATATAAAAGCACCTAGCTGTTTCAGTCTGGCTTCTTTAATTAGCATAATGTACTTGACGTTCATCCCTGTTGTTGTGCATATCAATACTTTGTTCCTTTTTATTTCTGGACATTGTTTCACTGCATGAATGTGCCACTGTTTGTTTATTCCTTTACTAGTTGAGGGACATTTGAGTTATTTCCCATTTTTGGAGATTATGAATAAAGCCACTATAAATAAGTTTTTATGTTATCATAGGTTTTCTCATCACTTAGCTAAATAGGAGTGGTCATATGGTAAGTGAACATTTAACTTTATAAGAAACTGCCAAAATATTTTCCATGGTGTCTCTACTATATTTTGTATTCTCACTAGTAACATAGTAGCGTTCCAGTTGCTTCATATCCTTACCAACACTTGGTACTGTCAGGGCTTTTTTTTTTTTTTTTTTCTCTACTGTTCTTAGTATATAGTGTGGGATGGAATTTTAACATTTCATCTTTTTAGAACCAAAATATTTCTATTTTGATACTCAGCCCACATTCAGTTTTTCCTCCTTTCCCTTCATTTGGTTCTTTGTATTAGCTCTCCCACTAGACTAAAGGTTTCTTTGTGGGTAAGGAAAAACTCTTAGTCATCTTTGTGTACATGAAGCTCTGCCACCCCATCCCAAGTGCAGGGATTTGCAAATAACACATGCTACTTAAATAAATGCTTCTATGTGATCAGATTAGATTATTAGATTAACACATACAGTGACATAATTAATACATCCAAAGGCTAATCTAGTATTGGCTAATTTTGTCAATTGTGGAACACCAAAAGAATTTTAATAAAACTATATACTTTCTTCCCTTTTCATGAATTTTTCCATTTTCATGTATATGTCTGAAAAAACAGATTTCTGTTTTCTTGCTTTACCAAGGGCTAAATTGGAAAATATATTTGGGATTGTGAAATATTTGTGTAATAAATTTCTTGTGCTTATACAAAAGACAAGATTGTTATTACTGGTACTTAAGTAAGAAATTAAGAATTATTAATTAATTAACTTCACAAATTAGATCACATATATTTCAATGTGTTTTTTAGGTCAGAGAGAAGAAATTGGAATTACAGAGGGGACCTGATCTGTACATACTATTTGTCAAGTGAGTTGGGGCAAAAAAGAGGTTGAGGGTCACTGATAAAGACTCAAAGAATCTTGAAAATGGAAAGGTTCTCAGAAGACACAGAGGCCAACCTCCATTTAAATGCTATAGCCATTTATTGATGGTTATAGCATCTGGCTTCCACCATTGGTAAACTCACCACTTCATACAGCACCAATTACACATGCTTACAAGCAAGAGACTCAAAACAAAACAATAAATAAAAGAAACATGGGGGAGGCAACTTCTTAACTGAACTTTCATTTTTCTGTAACATTATATTATATAAACCTTCTGTAGCACCTACAGAAATCTAAAAATAGAGATTAGAATCTATTGTGGCAGAAAATAAGTTTGTCACTACATCAACCAGCCACATGGGAGTTAATCTCATTAACTTTTATATTGTAGGATGATGCATACCTTGGAGAGATGAGTTCAGTGGTAAATGACATGAATCTTGGAATTTCTTTACATTAATATCTACTTCTTCTGAAACTTCAGTTTTTGAATGGAATTAAACCAACAAGTTCTAGTTGTGTATAGAAGAAAATTTGCATAAGTCTATAGAAGTCTATATAAGAAAACTTCTTAAACATAGTTCATGAGCAGCATGGATTAGTTATCCTTCAGCTGGAAGGTTTCTTGGAGAACTTAAAAGCAAGGGACTTCCTGCAGAAATGACTGCAAACATTTCTCCTTTTATGGGCTAGCATCCTCTATGGTGGTTTTGTACCACTGTCTTAGATCTGATGGAAACTCATTCCCAGAATTCCCTTTCCTAAATCGTTCTTCATTCCAGTTGGCTACAAAGGAAATTTGTGTGACCTTTGGAAGGTAAAAGTGAAACAGCAGCATTCTGCTCTGAAGGTCAGTGTAGTCAACAAGTGCAGCTCACTGACCTCCCAGATCACCTTGTCCATGGCAGGCAGCAGCCAGGCTGCCGGACATTTGGCTCCCCACAGATCTCCTCTTTTGGTTTCTGGGCCAGGTGCACGAATGGCTTTGCAGTGAAGAGTGCCAGTCCCTTTCGGGCTGTTCAAGTCAGGGTCATTGAGGCTGGAGAAGTATGAGTCAAATACAAGTTCCAGTTTATCTTTATGGGTTTCATTTTCTCCTGCAGGTTCTCCCTTGCTCAGCTCTACTTCAAATCTAGGTTTTCTTCCCAGTTGCCAGCTCTGCTAACCTATGATGACTTTAGCTCCATACCAGATGTGACGTGAAAGCGACTGCAAAGCTCCCACAATTGTTCAAGGTCTAAAACTGAAAATAAATCCATTATTCCATATTACCATAGTGGTTCTGCTTTTCTAAGTGATAGGGATTCCATTAAATCTTTTCTATTCAGAATATGTACTTGGTTACAAATATTCTTTAGTGCATGCCTTTCTTTTTTAAAATTTATGATATTGTCAAAAGAAATAGTACTAATGTACTGAGCCTAAGTATGTTATTTTATTCTCCCTTGTTTTGGGGATAGGGACTTGGAATATGCTCTTTTACACAATTCCTCTCAAAACTGGTAAGCCGAGGAATTGGGAGTCTGCTCCATAACCAGAGAATACAGAAAAACTAACAATTAATTTGAACTTCGGCATAATAATGAGTTAAAGACTACTTGAGTGAATTAGCTGCTTCTTCGAAATTTGTTTTAATGTGACACTTGGAAAGTTATGTCACTCATGATGAAATCTAAACATTAAAATTTTGAAAACAGGCTGGGCATGGTGGCTCACATTTGTAATCTCAGCACTTTGGGAGGCAAAGGTGGGAGAATCAGCTGAGCCCAGGAGTTTAAGACCAGCCTGGGTGACAAAATGAGACCCAACTCCTCTAAGAAAGAAAATTGAAACCAATTTCAGTTAATCAATTTTTATCATACTGTATGTGCATTGAGAATAAATAAATACTGCCATGAAGCACTTCGACCTTTTTACTTAAATTCCTAATGTTTTACATAATTTCTGAAGATTTTATGGTCTTTAAAGGCAGGGATGCATCTTCTCATTTTTACATCCTCCCATACTGGCACACAGATAAGTCCTTATTAAACATCAATTGAACTAAGTAAAGAACACATTTCAGCTTCCTGTTTTTTACAAAAAAGAAAAGAGCAGCAGGGTATGAGCAAACAACCACAACCAACTACATCCTCTGATGCTTTTCTCACTGTTATATAGAAACTCCAGCAGGAAACCACTGCTATATCCTTTTCACCACTATAGCAAAATCTTATGAATTACTGGCAAGCATAAAACAGCTCCATTGACATCACATAAACGTTTGTGACAATTTATACTCACCACACTCAAGTGCTTTAAAACATCTTAACAAAGTTTCTCAAGGACAAATTCCCAAGGAAAAATAATCATATACTTTAACCATGTGTTTGGAGTTTAATTATATGAAAAAGCAATAAGCACTATTGAAACTTGGTGCACCTCTCAATGTAGCTGATGTTTACAAAAAGCTCAAAAAACTGACAAGTGTTAAAATTCCTCATATGACTCAGACTTATAAAGATTTCTAACAGACCAAAGATGTATTAACGACTACTCCAAAACACGAAAGTACTAATTTTTTCCCTTTGTATTCAAAACGACCCAAGAATTAGACATTTCTAGCTAGGAAATGTAGACCCCCCTTTTTTCCATTCTCACACATTATGCACTTATATTTACAGCAACACACATTTTAAATTTGTAACGTGAGCCTTGATAATGCATTTTATCAATGAAGGGGTCTTCCATTGAATATCTCTTATTTGTCCAAGATCTACAAAGACAAGATGATGGCAGAAGTCCAGGCCTTTCATTCAAGGGCTTTAACTTCAATGTGAAACACAGACAAATATATTCATTTTACACAGAAGTCAGAGGTCTAGAACTCTGTAGCTTTCTTGCATGCCCACATTACCTAGTCCATAAGCTCTCCATAGGGCGTAGGGCTAAATGACTACATGCGTAAATGAATGAAGGCATACATGCTTGGTGATGATGAAGAGGGGGAGATAACAAGGGCCCGTTTGGGTTCCAACAAAGGCAGAATGGGCCTAAAATTCAGAAAATAAGCCTGTGAATGAAGAAGAAAACAAGCAAGATTTAAAAAAAAACAAGTGGTGGGGCATCAGAGCTAGAATTGCTCTTAGGGATTTCTGGACCAGCCCTCTCATTTCTAGAGAGGACCTGAGGTGCTGTGGGCAATGACATGCCTTCATGTTCCACTTTCAGGGACTGTGACATTTGTGTACCCATTTCATGATTTTAGCCTCATGTGCTTCCTATCTAAACCATTTTTTTTAACTCAATATTTTTCATTAAATTGACTTTAACTGGTGCACTGGTTGAAAACATTAGCCTTGCCCTAAAAAATAACATCTGTGAAATTACAGGTTTGATGTACTTGTTATATTATTTTTTGTAGCATATATTTTTAAAAATATACTTTGAAATGTGTTCTGAACATATTTCTACATTTAAATAAATTTATAAGTATTAAAATCCAAAGCAAATCTGTATACTACGTAAGATCCTCTCACAGGTCACTGCTGGAAATCTGCAGTCTGAAAAGCAGTGCTCTCTACTGTGTTACCTCCGGGAACAAAGAGTTTGAATTCTGAAATGACATGAGGTGGTAAAGACATTCCAGAGTGATAAAAAGGGTCCAGTAATAAGACTAATGCCTCTAGGTGATTTCTGTCCATTTTCTTTTACTAGAAAAAAAAATCAATTGCTAATTAAGGAACTAAAAAAATAAGGCAGAAATCACGGCTTTTTTCAGTTATTGGATTTTCACCTTCCAAATGGACAGACAGGTATATTCATCCTCCTACCGAGTACCATTAATTCATTAGAACTACAGTTTTAAGAAGGAATTTGTCTGAAATAGGCCTCCTGTGCATGGATTACCTTTTTTTTTCTTAGTATTCCATTTGCAATGAGAACACTTAGCTGTAAGCTGTAATAAGGAATTGCTTAACTTTCATAAGTAAATGAATGTCTATGATTAAAACATCAATCACGGAAACACTAGTTCTATAAATAGTTTCTAGGTCCAAAGTCCATAGGCAGTTAAATAAAGACACATGTTTGTTTTTTCTTGTTTGTGTGTGTGTGTGTGCATATGTATGTGTGTGGGTGTGCACACACATGTGACATAAGAAACACATTTGGTTTTTCTTTTGAGAAACAAAGAAATGTTATTTGCTGAACATATGTGTTACCTGGTATTTTGATAAAATTTATGTTTGCCAATGTTATCACCTATGCAATGATCTATAAAATTTTAACCTAAAATATCTGTCCTTGAACTCACCCTGTGTTTTTTTAAATGTCTTATTGCTCATTTAGAAGCTTTCACATTTGCTTTTTAAGCAACACAAGATGAAATCCAAGATAGAAGACAGAAGTCCATAAAATCGTACTGAGTCCTTACATTTTGACCCACTGTGATTTGCATCACCAACAGAGTCCTGCAGTGTAGCATAGTGGTGAAGCTCATGGCCTTTGACATTGAACAACTGAATTCACACAGCTCCATTACCATCTGTGGGACTTTGGGCAAGTTATGCTATCTATTTCCTCATCTCTAGAATGGGGAATTATTAATGTGTTATTATTTAGTAGTACAAACCTCAGAGATTTCTTTAAAGGAGAAGTGGTTTTAGCAAGACGTCACTGGCAGATAAGCCTGAAGAATAAAATTTTTAAGGATTTATACATATCTGTAATCTAGCCTTCACTCATTTCCTTTGGAAAGTAGATGGATATATATGGAGACATGTATTAGGGTTCTCTTATGCTCTAGAATCAAGATGGCAAAGTGCCTCAAGTGTTTTTTTGTTTTGTTTTGTTTTGTTTTGTTTCTTGTTCATTCTTTAATGAATTTTAAACCCTCTTCCCGCATGTGTTTAGTTGGTCTTTCATTCTTTTCCACTCATCATCATTAATTCTATAATTGAGGCTCCATCTCTTTTCTTTTATTTCCCCTACACCACCAGTCTCTGCGCTCCAAGGCAAAGGAGGTTCTCCTCCCAGTCAGGGCAAATACACAGAGATGGAATCACTTACTAGGCATTTCAGAGGCATGAATTACCACTTAAACTTCCAAGGTTGAAGCCCTGGAGAGGGAGACCAATGGAGAGTGGTGAGCACCTCCTCAGAATAAAAAGATAGCCAGAAGGCATGGGATATTTCACAGAGCAGCTACATAAATAGCTGGGTATTTACAGTCCCATTGGAATGGGTACATTCCCCAATAATGATCTGACTCAAGATCATTCCCCAAGGGTGGAAGAGCTTCCTGAGAGTCTAAGCAATTATCTAAAACAGCGGCCCTTAAGCAGTCTTAAAATACACTTGTGTATCACAAACAATTTATGAGCAATGATAAAGTACCAATGACAGCAAATTATTTATTAAAGTATAATTTAGAGCTGTTTTCTCTAATGAATTATATTAACCTCAAAAATCAAGTTATTTCTATAATAATGTCACTCTCACTCATTTCACTGGCATGTGTGGATATTTTCTTAAATAGGAAAAAAATGGAAATGAAGTTACACTGAGGTTCTGGTATCCTCATGAGAAAGAAATTTCTCGTAGTACACATACCAGCAGACTCTTGTAAGAATTCTACATCTTATATCTGTTCCGTTTTTGTCACTTCTGCTACCCTCTGCTTCTTAGTTGTTTTTAGGAGAACTAAGTCAAAAATGCATGTGTCTGTGACTTTATTTTCTACAACATTAAGGAAGTGGAGTATGGGAAAGACATACAGTTTTCAAGTTAGCCTGGCAGGGAGGAAAGGAACCCAGGTGTGGCAAGCAGGTGGTGAAGCTGTGAAGAGGAACGGAAATGAAGCTGAATTGCTCAGCATACAGGAAGGAAGAAAGAGGTACAGGGCTGCTTGGTTAGGACAGAGGAGGGACCCAGGTTGTTAGGCTACCAGGGGAATTCTCTGAGATCATGACCAGGAAAAGAGCCCATTCTAATTTTGTTGAACTATATTTATTACTAAGCTTATTCCCGTTGTCTGGGAATTATTTGAGAGTTCAGACTATGTATTATTCAATTTTGAGTCCCTAGCACACAAAACAGGGTTTTACATACATACATATATATATATGTATATATATATATCTCAAGTGCTCGATACAGATTTATTAAATGATCCAAAGAATTCACCTTTCTTAAACCAGGGCCTTCTGCCAACTCCATTTCACATTCTATCTCTCACCTCCTAAATAAATTCCTATTTCCAGTTGGAGGAAAGCTTTGATTCAATTTGCAAAGTAGAAGGAGCTGACATGCTCTCAATCCAGTCCAGCTCAGGTTATTAACTTTTCCCCTCCCTCTCGGAGGCTCAGATTTCATCACTCAAAAGCCACAAACCCCAGAGGGAGGATTTTTTAAAAACCTATCATTATAGTTCTAAACATCAAAATAGCCACCAGGGGAATAGCAGAACAGTTTCTTCGTAAAAGAGCATAAACATTTCAGTGAACTAAATTTGTGTTTTAAATGGCACTTTCAGAAAAATAACTTTATCTCTAAAGACTTTTAACACCTATGGTCTTTTATATATTATCAACCCATTTCAGGTGACAGGACGCTTGATACTTAAACACAGCCACCATTCTATAAGGAAATGCCACTCTCTTCAAAGAAAGCATAGAGTCAATGTGGCACTGTGTCCTCTGTTAGTTTCGATTGGTACTATTCTCGGCACTGTCTTCTCGGAGTGAAGCTGTTGAAACACCGACACTTTAGGATTAATAATTAGATGAGGGGATGTTTTTAGAAATAAAGTAGGAGGCACGAAGTGGGGGTGGTATGCAGCAAGTGTGCATGAGGAAGGAAAGTGGCAGGAGAAGTTGACAAGGCATGAGAGATTTCAGAGCGCTATGAAGACAGCTTTCCCTACCGAAGAGATCTGTCTGAGTTTTCCATCTTGTTGCCCCAAAAGGGCATTTGTCTTTATTTGCAACATGAATAAATCAACCCTGATGCAGTCACCTCATTTTTTAGCCATAGTAACGGAGCAGTTCTACACAATCAAGTGGCCAGACTGTGCAGTGATCTGCCTAGCCTCAGAGAGGGGTTGCAAACACAGCCTACTGTAATCATTAACTGAGCATTTCCAGGCTATACAGAAACACAAGCTGGGATACGAGTTGATACTACTCCTGAAAGTTTATCTCAACTGCCAGGCCTGCTAAATAAAATGCAGCATCACTTGAAAGATTGAGATACACTCTGGACTTTCAGGAAGCTATGCAAGTTTGGTCTATGTGTAAAAAGTTATACATAAGATAAAGATATGGTGCATTTAAAAATACATAAAGCAATCCAATGTGAGATCTCAGTCATTGGTCTTTAAGGTAAAGAAAAAATAAATTACATTATTGTTAAAACTGCTAATATTTTTCATTTGCCACTTGTCGTACAGTAAAAAGCAAGCAAGTACACAGATGAAAAACTCCGTTATTCTTTAACAGACTACGTTAACTCAATTTTTATTCATTAAACTTTCACAGACTCTACAAATTTTGATACTGCAAAATTTTTAGACCCTCACCATGGTTAATGGGGGTTAACTATATTTGGCGCCATCACCTTTCTGCTTTGTAGACACATCAATTTCATGAGTACAGTCATAGCATTTTGGAGCTCAATGGTACTTAGGGAACACCTAAGTAGTCCAGACTTTACAGACTCAATACCTACAGGTTTGGGGTAGTAACACAACTAAGTGAAGCTGTTGGGCACAAGTGACTTATATAAATGCTCAATGTCAGTGAGACATTGAGAAGTGGGGACTACAGCGAAGTAATGAAGTAGCATATATATTGCTGTTCAGCTCCAGCCTAGAGAATGTGGGTGAGGGCTTCATTTTTTATAATAGATCTGATGTTTAAACACTGGCTTAATTAAAAAATAAATACCTGGAGGCCACAGTTTTCCTGCTAGGCCCACAGACTGCCAGTTTTCAATTCTGATTTGGTACATATATCTCCAAATCTGAGGCCCAGACAGGTAAAGTGAAGAGTACCAGGTCTCTCAGATGCTCACAGCAAAGCTTTCTTCTGCTCTGAGAATCCACTTGGGTAGACAATCCCTCATATGAAAGGAGACTGTAAGTGCATTTTCACTCACTTAATCAGAGCTCAGCCCCTTACCCTGACAATGATAGACTTCTGCTCTCTGACTGTTTTCAGAACATGTTCGACATGAAAACAAGAACAATCACCCATACCCACTTTGTCATAAGCAATTTTTACCCAACCAAGGATGCAGGTGAAAATGAACATGCATTTACTAACTTTAGCTCTGACTAAAATTTTTACTGGAATTTAAAATTCTTAATTTTAATTAACAATTACAATTTTAGCTGCTTCATTTTTACCTGCATTTTTCAAGGAGAAATACCTTATAGAAAAATTCAAAGAAAGGCATGCTTAATTAACAATATGACTAAGTATAAATTTAAGAATCATGCTATGTATAAAATAAATTAGAAACAGGTCTTAAGAATTACAAAAGTTTTGCTGCAATCATGGAGCTTGAAACCATGCTTTGAGTGGATTGAGAAACTAATTTAGAGTGAAGGAATGAGCATTTCAAAGCGATGTAATGGCAAAGGCAAAGATCAAACTCCAAGAAAGTGGAACTCACAGTGAGTCAAATGTCTTTTGCATTTTTGAACAACAATTTTAAAAAAATGTATACTGAGAAAGCACATTCATATCACAGAGTCAAAAGGAAGAACTACAAGAAAAACTTCTATGTTATATTCAGCATATCTGTCCTGTACAGTCATAATTCAGAATAAAGACACAGAGGCAATGCAAAAGTTCAAATCTTGATAATATTTGCAGGCTAATTACATTTTAGAAAAACTGTCAACAAGAATTGAAACAAAAAATGCTCTGATTACTCAGAAAATATAGTTCACACAAACACTTCACTCCCTCAGGCATTTCATTAAACCAAAGTTATACATTATAAAGAAAGAGAAGAGTCTCCCATAGACACAATATGCTTATTTTAATTTTATGCTATTTAGAAATCAATAACAACTGATTTCTGAAAAACAATCAAGAATCTATTAACATAAAGCATCTGATTATTCTTCATAAACCAGATCTCCCACTTGGATGGACTATTTGCAATTCAAGTTTTAAAAAAATTCTCTGTAACTCTTTTTTCCTCCAGAAAATTAACAGATGCAAATGTGATTGTCAAAGGGGCTTTGGAGATATATCTCCGTCCTCCAGCTGTCCATTACTGAATTAGCAACAATGCTGAGGTCCCCAGAGATGCCTGACATTGTGAGTTTTTACTCTTCCAGCCTCCAGAATTTTTTTAAGGGTTCTCTTGCTTCTGTAAGTGTCACAAAGCTGTGAATCCTGACTAAACCAATCTTCTAGAGGTGGCTTGGTATCCACGCTATTTAGGATCCAAGAATTAAAAATTTTAAATGGAATCTGGTGTGTAAGGCCAAGAAATTGTCTTGTCTTAGATCACCCAGCTGATCCCCACGATATTTCTGCTACGCTAGACCCTTGGGACAGAGATGAGATCATGGCATTGTCATTTAGACAGACTTACTGAATTGACTCTCAATTTTGGAGGAAGGGGTGCACAGTAACTGATTCTCCTCCCTCACCATGGAGAAAACTCTTGGACATTGTCTTCAGGTCCTGGTCCTTTTTCCCTTAGCCAAGAATTACTGGGGAATTAGAAAGAGGAGTTCTGGATTTTTAGCTTCAGCTCTATTAGTGACTAGAAACAGTTATTAACTTCCTTGGGACTCATCTGTAATCATTTATTTCTTTGTAAATAAAGGCAATGGTTTCCAAATCTGGGTACTGGAATCCTTTTGGGACCTTTATAAAAATACAGATTTCTAAGCCCCACCTCCAGATTCAGATTCAGATTCAGATTAGGGTCATTTATAACTGCCTGGTAATAATAATTGGGGCCCCAGATTATGCTGCCAGCTTCAAAATAAAGCCAATAATTTAATTACCGACATGAACAATTAGAAAGCTGTTACTATGTTGCCAACTCCAATATGCCCAGTTAAAAAGCTGTGAAAACTTTTCTCACTGGCATTCAAGAGAGTACGTAATTTAAATTGTAAGAGTGTATACATTTTCTCCCTGAAATTCAGTAATTTCAGAATTTCAATCCAAATGCAGACTCTAAATGTTTTTGTTATTCCAGACTTGACTCTTACGTGCAAAAAGTTAGATTATCACTAATTTGAACACTCTGATATGGATAAGAAAGAGGTCCAAGTCATTTTTATTTTTTTAAAAAAAGCAAAGTTCCATATTTGGTTGCATTCCAAATCAACTAATTCAAGCAGATGAATCTCTGACTTAACTGGCCCTGGTCTTCTGTTTTAAGGTATAGCTTCATTTAAAAGGGTGAAAATATCACAAAATTGTTCTATTCCAGAGAAAAGACACCAAGAGCTGAATGAAGCCCACCAAGAAAATGTTCAGGAACACAAGTAAAGGTTTTCTTCTCTAACTTTGTCTCTTCAGAATAACTGTTAGGGTACAGCAAAACACAAGAATAAATTTTCTAGAAATGCATACAAACATATTTAAATATCTAACTAAGAAGATGGACAAGTCATAGAGCAACTGACGAAAAGAAAATATGGCAGATGCTGCCGTTCCTTTAGGAGTTCATGGCTACCAAGCGATCTGGTTCATCTTCACAGCCTGTCAGTTCCTCACATGACCACCTCGGCCTTCTGTGCCAACGACTGTAGTTGCATTCTGAGAAATGAAATAATCACGCCACAATGTGGTGTATCTCGTAATGTCAATAGTTCAACAGTAACATTCAACTGAACAAGGCCTAACCAGTAAATTACTGCAAAATAAATAAAAAGATGGCAGGAAATGGCAGATTTATGATGTTATGGCCACTCTGGCTAGATTTTCTTAAAGTAGCAGTATTAGGAAAATAGATCTTAGTCATAAAATAATTAACAACTCAAAAAAGGTCAAATATACAGAGCTAGAGAATAAAACAGTGATTACCAGGGTGAAGATGATCAGGGGAGGAAAAGGGGGCATCCAGGTCAAAGGATACAAAGTAGTAGATATAAAAGATGTATACGTTATTTGGTTCCACTACAGACACCGTCACCATTTTACATTTTATGTATATACATGTATACCATTATATATATTTATATATAAAAAATATAAAATATGTATATATGTGTATATATAAAAAATATATAAAATATGTATGTATGTATCTTATAACATCACGTTGTATACTTTAAATATACACAATGAAATTTATTTTTTTAAAAAGTAACTCATGTAATATTTCAGTCCAAGCAGAAATTCTACTGCAGTTCTCTTCCAACTTGATATTTATTTCTTCTTTTCTAAATGATTCTTAAATATAACTGCCATTACTTCCTCATTCTTTGCTTCCTCCTTCTATAGACATGAAATCAGCACCCCTTCCTCACTGCACATCCAGGTCCATCCATCTTTTATAAACTAACTCAAGATCCCCCTCCTCCTTGAAGCCTTTCCAGATTAATTCAGTCCCCAAGGATCTTGCTCTCTGACTTTACTGCCATGTACTCACTAAATTGTAAGTCTTGCCTTCCTCAATCAGGCAATTATGCTATTCAGAATATTGCGGAAAATGCTTGTCTATCAGATCTGTCAGATCTCTTGGTCGGCTCTTGGCATCTTGCAAACTGGGAACATCTCTTCTTTGTATCACTTAAAGCAGTAGCTTTCAGACTTTTTGGAAAATGATGTATAATGAGGTATACATTTTATATCACAGTCCATTATGCAGGCTTGCACACACACACACATACGTATATATATATTTAAGGAATTTCATGAACAATACTTACTCTTCTGTTTTAGTATTTTATTTTTCAAAAATAAAAATGCTGATCAGACTCACTAAACTGACTTCACAGTGTGCTAGTTTGAAAAGCACCATTCTTGAAGGGCACTTAATGATTACTATGGGATTACTGTAACTATTTCTCTCATTTAAAAAATAATTTTTAAAAATGTATGTGGCCTTTGGGGTCTGTTTAGCCTGTGTTCCTGAGTTACTTGTTTGTTCAGTCTGTTTTTTACACTATCATATGTTTGCCTTTTGGAGTCATCTAGGACAAATAAATACTTAGAATATACACTCTTTGTCATTCTTTTCCCCTGAGCCCTATTCTCATAAAAATAAGAATCCTTGAATTTTTATAACTCATTTCTACATAATTCAAACCTCTATTCCCTCATTCTCTCTCTTATTTTTCTAATATGCAAAGTAGGTGGTAGACATTTGTAGATGAAATATTTGAGCCAAAAATAATTAAGACTTTTCCCCCTTTAAGCAGCCTATTGTAAATTAAGGTAAATATAATTTCTAGATATTTGAAGAATATAAATTTGGGTAATCTGAATACCATAGATCCTCAAAATGAATGCATTCACCTAAATCACCCAGATAAAATGGTTTACTGACCAGATGAGTTGGCAGGCCTTTTGGACTTCAGTTTGTAGGTGGATCCTGCTGCCCTCTCCATTCTCGTCTTACCATCTTTATGTACTCACACTGTTTTTCAACCACCTGGAGCTATGTATTTTCCTTGGTCTCTGCTTATTTTGGTCCCCGTGCCAGGAATGTCCTTCCCTCTCTTCTTCACTGGGCTAGGTCCTCTCATCTTTCAGGTCCATGGGAAACTCTCCTTATTCTCTCCACCTCTACCCTGGCCTCCACAGCACCCTGTCAGGGCACTCCACCAGCGGTTGCTGGCAGTGTCCCTCCCAAGTTTTGCAGGCTGAGACTATGTCTTGTTTATTCTTCTATTCCACAATCTAGGACCATGTCCAGTCCAGGATTAAATATATGTTGAATATATCAACATATATTCATGAAAAAGTGAATGAATGAGTGCATAAAGGGCAGGAGCAGCTGCCAATGAAAGAGCTCAAATAAGAGCTGTGGCTAGAATCATGTGTCCTCCTTCTCTGAGCCCAACATTTTATAATTTTGTGATTCCAAGACCAATATTTCCGTGTTTCCTGCAAGCTGCAGATTTTGCAACTGGAAATTCAAACAGTGAAGGATAGCTGGATCTAAATATAGTCTTTTAAGTATGTTGAGGCATAATTAAGAAAATGTTGCAGGAACAAATAATTAAGCATATTGGGCAATTTTTTTGAGGCAATTAAAACACTCAAATTTCAAAACAGCTTGCTGGAATCCAGCCTGCCCTCCAATTGACACTGATCTGACTCATACAACGCCTCAGTCCTCTACTTCCCATGTGAAGCTGATGCACTTGTGATTTTGTCCTAATCATTTTCGTAGAAGTCTAGTTAGTGATTAGGTGAAGGCTCACCACACCACAACACACTGTACATGGCTCTCCATGAGTTCCTCTGCTGTTTCCAAAATAAATTTCAATCATATAACATCTAGGCCTGCAATTGCAATTGCTGTTTTTTTTTTCTCTTTTGAATCAATAACCTATTCCCTCGATTAAAGACACACAAAACTTGAAAAACTAAACACACACAAAAACTCGAAAAAGAACATTCTCTAACGCAAACTCCTGTCTTTTGCAGATAGCAGCAGAGATTTTCTGCTTTGGGCTGTGACTCATGTACCTTTATTCCCACAATTGTTACTCAGGGCAGGCCAATGGTGAGCACAATGGGAAAAGAAAGAATAGGTTATAACTGGAAAATAAGCACATTCGGGCGAAGTACACTCAAAGCATTATCAAAGTAAAATATGCAGCAGCACCAACAAGAGCAAACAAAAGCCCACGCAGGAGATGTGTAAATATTTCATGAAGCAAAGCCTTAATCAACCCTCTCTCCCAAATCTTGCTGGTGTTGTAAACACTTCAGTTTCTTCTAGTCCCACCATGACCCAGATACCTTGCAAAAACAAAATAAAAACATAGTCCAATGGATCTTTAAACAAATGTGTTGTGAAAATATTTAGATGGAGCATACCCAAGTACCGCTTTAACCAAGAGGAAGAAGACACCTTACTCAAAGGTGGGTGCTTCTTGAGTGACTGCTCAGAGCTCTGTTTCTCCCCTCCCCCTCCAAGCCCTTGCCTTTTGCCCACCTCCTCGGCTGCTTTGTGGACATTCACATCGTCTTAACCTTGAACTGCCTACACCCCAAGCGGTGATTTCTCCCAATGGCCCTCCAGAAAGCCCTTGAAACCTGGTCTGGATTCGATGCCTTCCCATCACCCAAAATTCACTTCCCAGTGGCATATTAAGTACCTCTCCTTTTTTCCCTCTTTCACTGTCCATTATTGCGTCTGAAATGATGCCTACATCGTTTCCATCTGCCTGGAGAGCATGAAGATCTTCTGTGTGTGTTGGCTGACAGGCTCCTTCAGACCTCTTCTAAAGCCCATCTTGAAAGAACCGTTTATCACCTCTAGTCTCTACCCTGATTTAATGTGGTTCCAAAGTTCGCCTCTATTAGTGAACATGTCTCTACAACGATTTCCCTTTATCAACCCCTGCCCGCCCTTCCTCTTCTTTCTGCCTACCTCAAGAAAACCTATTTACATATGCATTTATGTATGTGTGTGTATATACACACACATACATACATCCATATGTAATATATATTTCTATGTTTTGACCTTAAAGGGGATAAGCATAGGAAAATGAGACAAATGTCACACACACACACACACACACACACACACCCCTCATATTCGGATATTCGCAGTGTGCAGACCCGATTGATTATAAATTTCCCTGCCCACGATCAGCAGGCGTCTTCTCCCATTTACCTTCAAAGCCAGAGCCAAAGAGAGCAATGACCTTGCAGAGAAATTCATCACCTGCGAGAAAGACTGCCCCTCCTAGAGCGCAGGATGGGACAGAGACAAGAGCAACAGGCAAAGGATCCCTGTGCAAAATGTGGGACCGAATCCCTTCCGCATCCCTACAGAGCACACCACCAGGCTCCGGTCCCCCGCGCTGGCCGCCAGGCGGAGGTGCGCAGGGGGCGTCTCCTACCTGCTCTGCCCGGCTCCGCGGCGCGGCGGGGCCACTGCCTGCGCTGTGGCGGGGGCTTCCCGTCGCATATCCCAAGCACCGTCTCTCGGCGCCACACCGATGGCTCCGGCGGGCCCGCGAGCTGAGGTCCTTCTCAGCCCGGTCCCGGAGCGAGCTCCGTGCGTTCAGGAACTGAAATTACTATGCCAAGAGCAGAGGCGGCGCGCAGCAGTCGGGCGTAGACCGAGGGGGCTGCCCCCACCGCGGGGCTGCAGACGCCGCCGCCGCCCCCGCCGGGCGCAGAGCCAGTTTGGAGGTGAGAGTTCACTTGCCCGACTGTTCATCCGTCAGGCCCGGGGTGTACCCATCTGTCCAGCGCTGCCCAGCCTGAGCATCCGAGAGAGGGGCGACAGCTTTGCAGGCGGCGGCGGCGGCAGCAGCAGCGGCGGCAGCAGGAGGCCGAGCTCCGCCCCCTCCAAACCCCCTCCCCCGCCTTCCCGGTCCTGGGGGAAAGTGTTGCAGCCCAGGCTGCTGAGCGCCGGGCCGGGAGCTAGGAGGGGTCTGGTGGGTTGTGGTTCTGCACCCCTGGAGACCAGAGACAGATGGAAAGTTAAGAAGGGATTAAGGAAGAGGGCTGGGGACCCAGAGCGATTTAGCAGGCATTCTGGCCCTTGCTCCCTCCCACAGGTCACCAGACTCCATGGCTGAGTCTAGACTCTAGCAGAAGGTTTCCAATAAAGCCACGTGCAGTGGAGATCTGAAAGCAAGATCATCCGATAAGTAATATGTTTTGCAAAATGTACAGTATCCTGCGTATTCGGAGAGGCACTGCTGACAGTGTTCCTGTCCCCATCCCCTTCCCGCTACCCCATGGGCTTGGAGGGCTTTGAGGGCTTTGGAAATCTTCCCTGTTGAGCAGCTCCAGAATCCTGAATGGATGTGTAGTATGGTTAGCAGCTGTAGATGGTGCAAAATGATACGATGAAAAGAGCTTCATTATTAACTGGGTATTTGTTGGAAGGCTCTGTGAAAAATGCCTTACATACAGCCTCAGCCTCTTTAATTCTTACTACAACCCATTGAGGTGCCTTACCATGTGGACGAGGAAACAGGCTTATATGATCTAAACACTTTGCTTGAGGTCACACAGTAGTAACCTGCTCAGCTGGGATTCAAACCAATCCAAAATATATCCTCTCATCTAGTACACAGGACTCACCTAGGGGGTCTTGTTAAAATGCTGATTGTGATCCAATAGGTCTGGGGTAGGGACTGAGGAAACGCTTTTTTAGTTTTTTGTTGTTGTTGTTTTTTGTTTTTTGCTTCGTCTCCTAGGCTGGAGTGCAGTGGCGCGCTCTCGGCTCACTGCAAGCTCCGCTTCCCGGGGTCAAGCGATTCTCCTGCCTCAGCCTCCCAAGTAGCTGGGATTACAGGCGCCCACCACCACGCCCGGCTAATTTTTGTATTTTTAGTAGAGACAGGGTTTCTCCACGTTGGCCAGGCTGGTCTGGAACACCTGACCTCAGGTGATCCGCCCGCCTCGGCCTCCCAAAGTGCTGGAATTACAGGCGTGAGCCATGCCTGGCCCAGGATAGGCATTTCTAACAAGCTCCCAGGTAATGCCCATGCTACTGGCCAAAAGATCAAACTTTGCGGCACTATTCACAATAGCAAAGACTTGCAACCAACCCAAATGTCCGTCAATGATAGACTGGATTAGGAAAATGTGGCACATGTATACCATGGAATACTATGCAGCCACAAAAAAGGATGAGTTCATGTCCTTTGTAGGGACATGGATGAAGCTGGAAACCATCATTCTTAGCAAACTATCACAAGAACAAAAAAACAAACACCGCATGTTCTCACTCATAGATGGGAATTGAACAATGAGAACACATGGACATAGGAAGGGGAACATCACACACCGGGGCCTGTTGTGGGGTTGGGGGAGGGGGGAGAGATAGTATTAGCAGATATACCTAATGTAAATGAGAAGTTAATGAGTGCAGCACACCAACATGGCACATGTATACATATGTAACAAACCTGCACGTTGTGCACATGTACTCTAGAACTTAAAGTATTAAAAAAAAAAAAAAAAGATCAAACTTTCTAAGCCCCTAGATCAGGGATTTTAAATAAGTTTCTTCTTTTATGCCAGGTGTAGTTAATTGATAGCTGCTTCCTGAAGGTGGGTTAAGAAGGATTCTCTGGCTCTGTCTGGGTTCTCCGGCTAGCCATGTTCATTTTGGTTGAAGACGAAGGGAGCTGGGTCATCTTCCCTACACTAGGCCGCTTCTAAAAGGACATCTTTATGACAGGAGTGGTTGTGGCATAATATTTATGTCATCATAGTATTCATATCATAAATATGCTAAGCACAGATGTCTTTATTCCAGTTCTCCCTCTCATTAAGCAAACTAAGCCAAAGTTTTAGGCCTAACATTTGTATAGGATGAAACACTTTGCAAAGTGTTCATGTGAATAATTTTATTTGTCTTTATACAACACAGTAAGGCAGATATAATTTCACTCTACAGGAAAGGAAACTGAGATAGGGTGACTTTCCTGAGATTATACATTTAATATATTATATGTGTGGTAGGGACTAGGTTGTGACCTATCTCTAGTTCTGTCTAGGTCTGTTTGTACTATCTTACTGTATTCATTTCCTGTTGCTGCCAACAAAGTATCACCAACTGAATAAAATACAAATTTATTAGCTAACAGTTCTGGAAGTCAGACATCTGAAAATGGATCTTTTAGAGTTGAAATCAAAGGCCCGCAGGGGCTGTGCACTCTTTCTGGAGACTGAGGGGAATCACCTGTTCCCTCCTTGTCTTTTCTGGCTTCTAGAGGCTGCCTGCATTCCTTGGTTGGAGAACTCTAACCTCTACTTCTCTTGCCTCATCTCCTCCAACTCTGATCCTCCTGCATCCCTCCTGGAAGGACCCCTGTAATGACATGGGGTCCACCTGGATAACCCAGAGTAATCTCCCCATTTCAATGTTCTTAATCACATCTGTGAAGTCCCTTTGCCATGTAAGGTAATATATTCATAGGTCCCAGGGTGTAGATATCATTGGAGAGGGTCATTATTCTGCCTATCAAAACCACATTTAGTACTTATTCTGTAGTTTCTACTAGACCTTATTCATCCTTCTCCTCTGTTTCATTTCTCAGACTGCTGGGAAGTTTTTATAGCTTAAAAATTCACAGGGAAGTTATTCAAGAGACAACAATAACAAATCAGTATTGACAAGAAATACCTCAAAGTCATGAAAAAATCATGAAAAGGACACATTGGATTATGCTCATGAAAAAGACATATAAGATGTACAGCTGCTTTTGGTCTGACTGACACTGAGATGATCCTTGAGGGACATCCTAAATACAATTAAAGGACCTCTTTAGCAATACAAAGGTTTTAAAAATTCTGCTACTCAAACAGTACACAGTTCCGTGATGAATAAGGTGATTCAAAACTCATGCAGAATTGAGTACAACACCAAATTCTAAACAGGGTGATGGTTTTCAGAGTGATGATACACATTAAATCAGTCCATCAAACGAAATCAATAAATGCTATTGAATGCCTTTTGTACTCAAAGCATTTGTAGAAAGACTGATATACGGAAGTTTGTCATTTCATTGGGAACACAGAATTTATAAAAAATGAAATCACAAAGGATTTAAACAGAAGAAACAATAGAAGCAACTTGAGCTGGTATATTATTAATTGCCAAGTGAATTAGATGAAGTGAACATTTCATTTGCAAGTTAGGTTTATCCAGGAGAATGGAGACAAAACTAGAAATGTAGGTTGGAAGGTTGTGTTGTAAGGATCTTAAATGTCAAGCTAAGGAGTTTAGGCTTAATCCACAGTAATAACAATGGTAATAATACATTATGTTCACACAGTGCCAAGTAATTTACTAAGTGCTTTTTACTATTTTCAGTCATTTGACCTCCTCTTCTCTCCCCCTAGACAAGCAGGCCAGTGCACGTGGGAGTGCATACACACACACACACACACACACACACACACCCAATATGGGAAAGGAAATGCAAGCCTCTTATCAAAGAGACTTTCTTGACCATTCTATATAAATTAGTAGCTCCCCTCAACACTTACCTGGCATACTTTCCATCCCCCTTACCCTGCTTTATGGTTTTCTGTTGAACTTAGTACTACAGCTTGATTGGTATACATTTGCTTATTGTACATCTACCTTCAGTGGGATAGAGATCTTTGGCTCTTTTGTTCACTGCTGTATTTCTATTGCCTAAAACAGTGTCCAACACTTATTAAATGCTCAGTAAATATTTGTTACTGAATTGTTACTCTCAGTTTGCAAATTAGGGAACCCAAATCCCAGACATTTAAGTGAACCTTTACAATGTCCTACAGCTATTTAGTGGCTTTACCAAGACTAAGATCCAGTGTCCAGCCCAGTGCTTTTTGGACAGTGTGTTTCCTTTCCAAGTGAAAGTGTTAGTGGTGTTTAAACAGGAGCAGCAATGAATTTTAAAAATATAAGAATTTGAGACTAGAATCTTCTCTAAATGTCACATCTTTCCTAAAAACTTCATCAGTTTAACTGGATTGGCAAGAAGAATTGGCAGGACAGAGTTACCAACAGTGGATTCTGGAGGGCTGCCATTGGTTCTGTTATTTGGCACTGAGTAATACTGTAAGTTGCTTTGTAATTTTTTCAAGTTAATTTGTGTGTGCACATCTTGACACTTGGTATTACAGGCTTTCTGGGCACAGGGACCATCACTTTTAATTCCTTTATATCCCTGCCTTCTGCCCAGTACTGGACTCAAAATAGATTTGTTGCTGAATGACTACAAGAAGGCTGCCATCTTTCTAAAAATCATATCTTTACAAACTGCACACAAGGCCGGAAAAACAGAACCTCAGTGAAGACAACAGCTTTTATACATATATATTTATATTTTTTTTCATGCAGGAAAAATATATTTTCTAGAACTCATTGCTTTCCCTTGAGCCATTGGCCAGAATGTGGTCACTAGATCACTCAAGGAGGCTGTGGAAATAAGCATCTAGCATGCAGCCATGGTCTCATCTTGCTTTTCCTAGGCTAGACATCTTGCTGCCTCAATTAAAACTGAGCTTGTGTTGGTAAGAGAGAAGGAAGGCAGGTTGTAGGATCATCCCATAGCAGTGTCTTCCCCCAGAGAATCAGTGGAGAAACACTGAAGGCTAACATTAAGGTCCATTTTGATATTACCTGAGTGTGTCTGGATTTCTGGAAGATCATGGCAAGCATATAAGTCAGGCTCCTGTTTCTTCCCTCTTTTCTCCCTCCTGTGCTCCCTCCCTCACTCCTTCCTTCCTCTCTGCCTCCCTTCCCCACTTATTCCCTTTCTTCTTTCCTTCCTCCCCTTCTTCTCTCTCCACCCCTTTCTCTTTGTTACTAAATAAGGCTTCTCCAGCATCAATTTTTGGTCGTACTTAGTATTCCATTGTATGTTTAATCAATGCCCTATTGTTGAGTGTTTAGATTGTCTCCATCTGGAATACTCTTAACATAGGCTTGTTCGACTGATTGGATAATAGATACTCGAATCACTCCTTGTCCTACTGCCTCATCTTTTGCGGCTCCTAATTTTACATGTTCCATTCCTGCAATTATAGTTTTTATAACACACTAATATATTGTTCCACAACAACATGAATTCGTTATTTGTGCCCCACCCTAACTCCTCCTGAAATTCCCTTTCTTCATAGTCACTTGTGTTATTCAGGGTTCTGCGGAGAAACAGAACCACTAGGAGGTATATAGATATAATGAAAGAGAGGTATGATGTTGATGGCTCACGTGAATATGGAGGCTGCCATCTGTAAGTTGGAGGCCCAGGAAAGCTGGTGGTATAGTTCCAGTCCAAACCCAAAGGTCCAAGAACCAGGAGTACTGATGTCCAAAGCGAGGAGAAGATGGATGCCCCAGCTCAAGACAAGAGCACATTTGTCTTTCCACTGACTTTTTATTCTATTCAGGACATCAACTGATGAATGGAAACATAAAATGCGGTATGTATATATATACATAAATACACATATACATAAAATGCGGTATATATATATGTATATATATAATATTTGGCAAAAAAGTGAAATAATGATATTATATTAATATAATAATGATATTAATATATGCTCCAGTTTGAAAATGGACCACAGACATTTCTGTAAAGAAGACATAAAAATGGCCAATAAGCACATAAAGTGATGCTCAACATCATTAGCCATCAGAGAAATGCAAATCAAAACCATAATAAAGTTTATTAAAGTACCACCTTATACCCATTAAGATGTCTATTATCAAAAACCAGAAAATAGCAAGTGCTAGTGAGGATATGGGGAAACTGAACACTCACAAATTACTCATGGGCATGAAGAATGGTGAAGCTACTTTAGTTACCATATGACCAAGGAATTCAATCCTGAGTATATACCCTTGAGAAATGAAAACATATGTCCATACAAAAACTTCTATATAAATGTTCATGGCAACATTATAAGTGATATCCACACAGTATAACCAACTCAAATATTTACCAACTGATGGATGGATGGATAAGTAAAATGTCGCATATTTATAAAATGGAATTTTGTTCAGAAATAAAAGAAACAAAGTATTGATACATGCTACAGCATGGATGAACCTTGAAATCACTACACTAAGTTAAAAAAAAAGCCAGTCGCAAAAGACCACATACTGCAGAATTCCATTAATATAAAATATCCAGAATAGGCAGATCGATTGGACAGAAAGTAAATTAGTGTTTGCCTAGGGCAGTAAGGCTGGGGAAAAGAGGGAATGGGAGCTGACTTCTAATGGGTATGAGATTTTTTTGGGGTGATGAAATGTTCTAAAATTAGACTACGGTAATGGTTTCACAACCCTGTGGATGAACTAAAACAATGAATTGTACATATTAGAAGGGTGAATTGTATAGTATGTGAGTTATATCTCAATAAAGCTGCTTGAAAATATTATTTGAACAACTAGTTTAGCCTGAAAGAATACTTTTTAAGAATTCTTAACTACCATTACACTTAGGCTGAGCTTACTGAGCAACCTTTTAATCTCTAACTCAGTTTCCCTGGTGTATTACTTGATCAATGACACTTATCCTGCCAAAATGTCAACTTATATAAATAAATTGATTCTCTGGTTTTCGTGTCCTTCTCTTATAGGTTTTTCCAGTCCAAATAATTTTCCCAGAGTGTGATCACACTTGGAGTGAACTGATAGAATTGACTTTGGCAAACCACACAACTAAACACCTGGCCTGTGTTAATCTCACACAGGTACTACATCCCCAAGGGACCCTACCTAAAATAGCCCATGAGCCAACCAGTTGGCCTCTTGTTCTTTCTTCTTGACAAGTCTAATCTGCCATATATTAAATAGGTTATTATTTTTCCAATGCAGAACTATAAATATTTCTGGTAGAAACGTGGTATCACATAACAAGAGAAAAATAAAGCAAAATAAATTAAAACTAAAATATAGTTCTAGAACAATGCAAGAATAAACAGTGATTTGGCATTCAGCACCACCATTATATCAGTTAATGACTGAGTTAATGAATGAACTCATGTCATAAGCATAATGTTTATGGATTGATGAATGTGTTCAGTTTGCCCCAGATTGGTTAAGTTTGTCTGGTTATAATGAAATTGGACCACTCAATCAGTATGACTTGAATTATACTCTGCAAACGCGGTGCCTCCTAGATTGCAGAAGATGGAAAGTCTGATTTACCCAATAAATCTTCTAGAATGGTACCTCAAAGAAATTTGGAACCTCAAAAAAATGGTTCTCTATATCCTATTTTTTCTGTTGCTTATTACACAGAAAATATATATATGTATATAGGGATCCATAAATCTAGATACAAAAATAATATGTTTTATTTTATATAGACTGAAGGTGTCTCTGATAAGATTACATTTGTCTAAATGCTGCCAGATTTTATGGAAATCTTTTATACACATGAAAGATAAATACAAAAAAGCCTTGTCTAGTTAACAAAAACACTTAATTCTTCTAATCATTTAATTGAAAATCATTTCAATTTGTTATTTCCAGGAATGGCTTGTCTCTCTAATTATCCATTTACTATAGGAAATCTCCATGTTTGTAGAAGTTGAATCACAATGCATATCAGTATGAAGTGGGTTGTTTTTCCCTATAGCAATAGTGTTGTAATTAGGCCTGTCTTCTCTGATCATGAATACAGTAATAAAATAATTCAGAGTTTAAAAACTAACACTGTTTCATAGAAACAAATACTAAAATCTCTGCAGTCATTTAAAATAAGGCTATGTTCTAAAATCTATAAAAATAATATAAATAAGTTGTGTACATCAACTATTCAAAGAATCCCAATGTACTACAATGTACATATATAACCCTTAACAATTTTAACACACACTCACATTGCTTCTTTAAAACAAATATTCCAGCTCTAATAGCCATTGTTTTAATTATACATGATTCAAGGATTAATTTTGTTTGCATTCTTGTGATTCAGAAGATGATGGAGGAAATAATGTTTTGCACTGAAACTGCTTAGGGAAGTTTGCATAATTTTTTTTCTTGATTTCCTGCAGCAAGAAGAAGCCTTAAAAATTATTGAAAAGTTCTAACTAGCAAACATTTGTTAAGATTCTACAGTATGCCAGACACAGTATATTAGGCACTGAAGACACAAAGTTGAGTAATATGTAGCTTTGCCCTGGTCTTGTAGCAGATTTCCAAACAAGCATGAGTTATGCATGAGACTCTATAGGGCACAGGGCAGCTAGAGTTTTGGGAAAAGAGAGGATCCTTGAAATGAGGATTTAAATGTAAGATAAAAATGGGTTAGTGAGGTGAGGAAGTGGAATGAACAGGAGATAATTTCGAGAGTGGGTAATTCAGGCTCTGCTCAAGATTGGGTCATCAGAAAATAGAATCATTCATTGTAATGTGCACATATTTGAAGTGCTTATTAAGAAACATAATTCATTAAATAAAATGCCTACTGAGTGTTTTATTATGTACTGGGCAATAGGTTCTAGGTGCTGCAAACATGATGATTAATGAAACAGTAAAAAATCTCTGACCTTTTGGAAGTTAAACTCTAGTGTGGCAAACAGATAAAAGTTGAATATACAAATAAATGTATGCCACAATGTCAGAGAGTAATAAATGTCATAAAAGAAAAAAAGCAGGGTCAGGGCCTGGAAAGTGACAGGGTGCTATTTTAAATTGAGGGGTGAAAGGTTAAGGAAATCCTCTCTGAAGAGGCGGTTTTGAGCAGACACCTGAATGAAGTTAGGGGGCAAACCATGTGACTGTCTAGTGAGGAAGAGCATTGCAGATACTACGAACAGCCTGTATAAAAGCTCTGAGGCAGGACCATGGCTTGGTATGCTTAAGGATCAGCAAAGAGGCCAAAGTGTCTGGAGCAACCTAAATGAGTAGACGAATAACAGGAAATGAGTTGGCAGAAGTGGCTAGCTTATGTAAAGTCTTTGAATTTACCAAAGCTATTTTTTCTACTTCCTAATTAGGTAGCTATACTGTATTTCTCAGCATGCCTTGCAGTTAGGTGTATAGACACATGAAAGATTTCTGCCTAATGGAATGCATCACTTTCAGACTTACTCATATAAATGTTGTGCGTGATTCTTTCTTCTGTTTGCTAGCCAGATGCACAGGATCCCACAGAAGACTCAAAGGCCCTGGGGAGTCCTGGGTCTCTGATCACTTAACTAGGAATATTTACATTGCACTTTGTATAAGCACAAAATGCAGTTAATTACACTAAGTCACCAAGATGTGGGGGCTCTCACTAATAAAGCTTTGGAATAATTACGGTTTAAAAAGAAGTGTTTAATAAAGCTGACACTTGAGTTTATTGTTTTTTTCATTCTTTATCCTATATCCCCCAGATTAGACAACCCTAGAGAAGCAAAGTGGCCACAGAAGATCAATTTGAAAGTTTTTGTTTTAAAGAGAAGAGGGATGGTCATCCTACTTTGTTTTAGTGATGCAGAGAGGTACAGACATCAACTTCCAGGGTGCGAGGGTCCTCAGATGCAGCCTCCGCCCACAGCTGCCTCTACCCGATTCTTTTCCTGTCCAGTTCCAACAAGAATAGCAGGAATGATCAGAACAAATCAGAAAAAGAAAAATATAGTTATCTATTAGACAGAACTGAACTTGGATCACTTCCTTTATAAGTAAAAAAAGATGATATGAGGAAAGCACTTGTGTATTGAAGAATTTGGCTCATTAATTAATAAATTCACCTTAAAATTTGCATAATGCTTTCCCTGCCTCTTCATCTTTTGGGTGCAGACACGTGGCTAAGATCCCAACAATATTTTATAAGATTTCTTTTTTCTCCCTGTAGAAATGGTCCCTAGCTGCATTTTAAATCTGCCTGTCTTTGGCAGTTTTTTTTTTTTTTTTTTTTGAGACGGAGTTTTGCTCTTTTGCCCAGACTGGAGTGCAATGGTGTGATCTTGGCTCACTGCAACCTCTGCCTCCCGGGTTCAAGAAATTCTCCTGCCTCAGCCTCCTGAGTAGCTGGGATTACAGGCATGCGTCACCATGCTCGGCTAATTTTGTATTTTTACTAGACACGGGGTTTCTCCATGTTGGTCAGACTGGTCTCAAACTCCTGACCTCAGGTGATACGCCTGCCTCAGCCTTCCAAATTGCTGGGATGACAGGCATGAGCCACCACGCCCAACAGTCTTTGGCAAATTTAAAATGAAGTGCCATGGCACTATCAAGCATTTGGTGCTTTATTTTATTTTTATTGCGCATGTACTCTGTTTCTGGCACTCTTCTAGGTACTTGGAATACAAAACTCCCTGCTCTTGTAGAGCTCAGAAAAAAAAGGCGTTTGATTATATTAAATAATATGACTTGGTTTGGTTTCACTTTTTGTATTAGTTTCCAATTACCATAGTTAGAAATTACCACTAGCTTAGTGGCTAAAAATAGCACAAATTTATTCTCTCACAGTTCTGGAATGAGGCCTATGGTACTAAAATCGAGGGTTTGGCAAGGCTGGTTCCTTCAGGAGGCCCCAGGAAAGCACCTGCGCTTTGTCTCTTCCAGCTTTTAGAGGCTGCTGGTATTCCTTGGCTGGTGACTACATCACTCCAATCTCTGCTTCTATAATCAGATTACCCTCTCCTCTGTCTGACCTTCCTGTGTCCTTCTCATAAAGAAGCCTTGGGATTTTATTCAGGCTCACTGGAATAATCCCAGATAACCTCAGCACAAGATCACTAACTTAATCACATTTGCAAAGTGTCTTTTGCAATGGAAAATAACATATTCACAGGCTCTGGGGATTGGAATATGGATATCTTTGGGGAAAGGGAGCATGGTGTTTAGGCTACCACACTTTTTCAATATTTAAGACCAAAGAAAGTATTTTCTTTTTGGGAAAGCTTCGGACAAATTGTTTTATAGAAGAATGATTCCATTCTCTTTCTCACAGATTGCAGGTAGACCACTAGAGCATGAAGGCATGTGTGAGTTCCATTATGCTGTGGGAGCAGGGTGTTCAGAGATTCAGTTCTATTACATTGTTGTCTGGTGATCTCCAGCAAATTCTTTAGTCTCTGTGACCCCTGGTTTCTTCATCTTTCCACAGCAGTGATAATGGTACCTCTGTCAACTGTTGTCTGTTGTCTGAAGATCAACTGAGATAACTATGAAAACCAGTTGACATACTGTGGGTGGAGTTTCTCAAACTCTCATACACAAATTTTTAGGGAATTAATAGATAGTTTTTAATAAATTTTTGATTCTCTGGATTTACATGCAATTTTTGTTCATATATATGAACATGGGGGAAATATTATCTCTATTTTTAATTATATTTTCTGAGTGTATATATTTTTCAAATACTGAAAATCATTGCGCTAGATAATTATAATAACATTTCTCGTTTTCTCTCAACTTCTCTAGGAATGGAATAGTTATATTCCCTTCCTTCATCAAAACCACAAAATTGACATAGGAAAACTCTTCTGATTGAACACTAATATCTGGAAACCATAGTGGTACATCCTTTTCTCTTTCTACAATGGTAATTTTTGGAACACAGAACACACCCTGTTTAAAGTAGATGACTTGCTTACCGAAAACATCCATATCCCCACGATATTGTTGCACTTAAAGTTTTATGCCCTGTTCCAACTTCCCCTACTCCACTGAAGGGGATAAGTATGACTTTCACCACTGATAAAAATTTAGCCTTGATCTGCCTGGATTACTCATCACATTCCCAACTACATGCTTCAAAATTCATCAAGTCCTCCTATCCTCACTTTGCCAGCACTCACTGCCATCTTTTTCTACCTGCCCTACTCACCCCAACTCACTGAATCATGAGTGGCTTTGTAGACTAAAGTGATTTGAATGTAGGCAATTTGTTGAGTCCCTGTTCATGGCTTGCTTATTCTAGGACACAATATGTCCTTAAAACTGTGGCAGTATGATATAATCTTATAATCTTACCACATTGTATGATAGATTGCAAATTCCATTAGAGTGGAGCTCAGAATTTGTCTACTTCCTTATCCTTGACACTGGATTTCATGCCTAGAAGTGCTCAGGAAATATTTTTCATATTAAATAAAATATTTACTAATTTAAAACCCATTTTTTTTTTCCTCAGGAAGCCTATCTTACTTTCTGTTTTCTTTTTTATTAATGGCATCACCCTCTAAACAGACATCTAAGTTTGAAATTGTGATAATTTATGTTGGGGTGAATAGACTGTGGCCCTCAGGCCAACTCCAGCTGCCACCTGTTTTTGTCAGTGAAGTTTAATTAGAACACACCAGAGTTGAGTAGTTATGACAGAGACTGCAAAGACTAAAATATTTTCTATCTTGCCCTCTGTACGGAAAATATTTGCCAACTGCTAATTTATGTGATAATGCCCAGCCATGTTACCTCCTGTCCATATTACTTTCTTAAATATGAATTGTCTTCCTGATTCTTTCTCAACTCACCCTTAATCCCCACTTATATCAAGTGCTACCTCATTGATGAACTCTCCATAAGCCAAGAACAATAGATGTGAGCCCCTGAGGACAGGAATCCAGTCATATTTACCTCGCATCCTCAACTGAACTCAGTAACTGTTGCTTGTGTGAAGTACGTTCTCTAAATATCTGGCCAAATATCTCACTGTCTGTAGTCATCTCTAGGCTTTCCTGTAGGTATTTCATGTAGAGCACAAAGTTATTTAGAAGATATTTACCTGCACCTTTAGAAGCCTCTGCACAAATAGATGCTTCAGGGCTTATTAAAGGAGAGTCTTCACAGTGGGCGAAAAGCTCGGAAATGGCTCGGAAATGCAATGAGAAAATTATGCAAAGGGATAAGAGTAAAATAATACTGATTTTCTGTAGCACTTTTAATGATTGTGAGTGTATTGTCTAGCAACTAAATAATCAATAACAGGAAGGAAAGGAAAATCTATGTGGCATGGAGTAGTATTTTTCAACTTTTATCTAAAAAAAACCCCTGCTAATATAAAAATGAGTGCAGAGTAACCTTACTTTGCAGTGTTAAGAAATACATGTTTTATTCTGGACTGGTTGAATGACATTATTAACCCACAGAGGTTAAGATCCAATGAGATCAAAGGATTTATAAAATTTGTCTCTTTCAGAACCCTCTCCAGATTTTAACCATGGGAAGGATTGGTCTCCTCATCCTCTATGTTGTCAGAGGAAGACTTAAAACCGATGCACCTGTTTCCTCCTATATTCTATTGTTCTTGTGACAGAAATTGAAGCTTCATAGGGCTTCCTAGAGTGTAAAGGGACCTCTTTGCTGTTCAATTTCAGAACTTTATGGGCATACATGTAAACCTTTGGGACATGTGAGGTAACATGTTTCTGTCACAAAATGGCTACAAAATAGCATTTAAATTATCAGGGCATTGAGAAAAATGGACTTAACCCAAACCTGAGCTGATTACTATGCAAAGAAGTAAAAAGACAAGAAAGGTTGTCTCAGAGTAGGGATGGTTGGTAGGTAGGCATGGAGGGATACAGGGGCAAGAGTGTTTATTTGTTTTCTCTTTTGAATATTTTTTCCTAATTGTTGCAATATGGGCTAATTTTGTAATTCACAAGAGATTTTAATACTAAAAACTTCTAAAGATGACAAATAGCCCGATATGAGCCTGGAGATGAGTATTTAAAAATTCTAAAATCTAGATATATCTTAGTTAATCAAAATTTGATCAAAAGAATAAAATATGCACATATCACAGAGACTTACACAAATACATGCATGTATTTGCCTGCCTATCCATATCTATCTATCTATCTATCTATCTATCTATCTATCTATCTATCTAATCAGCTATCACTCTATAATAAATATCAATTTCAGAGCATTGTTGACAACTATGCATAGTTTAAAAACTATAATGATAGGCTGGGTGCAGTGGCTCACACCTGTAATTCCAGCACTTTGGGAGGCTGAGGCGAGTGGATTGCTTGAGCCTGGGGGTTCCAGACCAGCCTGGGTAATATGGTGAAACCTTGTCTCTACAAGAAATAAGAAAGTTAAAAATAAAATTAGCCAGATGTGGTGGCACACGCCTGTCATCCCAGCTACCCAGGAGGCTGAGATGAAAGGATTGCTTGAGCCTGGGAGGTCAAGGCTGCAGTGAGCAGTGATGGTGTCACTGCACTCCAGCCTGGGCGACAAAATGAGACCCTGTCTCAAAACAAACAAACAGACAAAAAATCTATAGTTACAATAGTAATGAAGCCTGTAAAGGTTAGAGTGAACAGTAACAATATTTTTTAATATGTTGCTTAATAGTTGAGACCCAGGAAACAGACATTATACATTTTCACTCATAGGTTACAAAGCACGTACTCTTTACCTTTTAGTCCATTCCAATCTATAATTGCCTTTGAGAGTCAATAGGCCCACTCCTGTAAGGGTAAAGATAACAGTTTAATGCATCACTAGAACCAGAGAGAAAAGGCACTGGATTCAGAAATAATATTTCTTTACTGATTTAATATATGAACCAACTCAATTATTAATCTCACTAAAAACATAAGGCCTAATTTCTCTTGGGCAATATATCAATGTTACAAGATTGTTGAATAACCCTGGACAAGATTAACTTCTATGTTATTGTGAAGGTTAGGTCAATTTCTATTGCAGAGGGAGTCAACATAATTATGTAATATTTTAAAAGGAGTTAAGAGACAGTAATAAATCTCTGATCCTGAGTCTCTGTATACACCTTATTCTAACCTAGAAACTACTCCTCTGACAGCTCATGTTTAAATCTTATTAGGTATACACTTAAAATTATACCAAAACTCCACCCTGCCAACCACACTATTACCCTCATCACCTCCTACATTCCTTCTATCTTACTTAGTATTTCTAAAACCTTTTTAATCTTATTGTTTCCTTCTCCCACTCTATCCCAAAGTTAGTACTTATTTTTGCTCCACTTTTTTTGGATTTGAATATTATTCTGATTAAGAAGTGTCAAGCTTCAATCTCTAAGTTTTCCTTTGCTCAAACATCTTCTTCAACCCACTCAAATGCTTATCTCATCAGGGTCCCCATATGCCCTGCTGAGCTGCAGAATCTAGGAATGTGGATTTTGCTGTATTTCTTCTTGAAAATGTAGGCTGCAGCTTAAGTGAAACGCACAACTTCCCCAGCTCTTCGTTATTTCAACCTGAACAACGTAAAGAAAGCAAGCTATCTCCAAGGCCAGAGCAACAGCAATTTCTCTGAGGGCGGACATCATTTCCAAACCTTCAATTTAGGTATAATGTAGCCAGAAGATGGGGACTGTAAACCAGAATAGAGTTAGAAGAGAGGAGAAATCTGTAAAGATCCCCTGAATCAATTGAAACACAAGTGGAAGGTAACAGGAAGTTACCTTACCTGTGTGACTTTGGGCAAATTCTGGACTTCTCAGACTTATCACCTATAAAGGGTGCATCATAAGACCTATTGTGTAGGTTTCTTGCGAGACTGGAAATAGCACATAGCCCAGTGCCTAGCATATAGGTGGAACTCATTTAATAGCAGTTATTGTTATTATTCTTTGCTTTGCAGAGACCAGGGCTTGTAAATGAATTAAGAAATAGTTAAAATTTCCAGAGGCATTGTGGCAAACATATACTTATCCTGGGGTGTCAAGTAAATGTTGGGGGGAGTCTAAAGAGCTTGGCTCTGACAGGGTAGTCTTTAGTACACAATTAGAAAGCTATCCCCATTAAATCTGCTTAATATTTTTCTCACCAAGGCTCCCAAATGCCCTGCCAACTTTGAGAGTCTAGTGATGTGTATTTCACTGTTCTTCCTATTGAAAATGTAGAATATAGGTTAAATAAAATTCACAACTAAAAGCAACAGTCTGCCTCTCTTGATCCACTAAACAATTGCCTCTCCTCAGAGACATGTTTTCTATTTTAACTAAAAAGTGTCCTACTGGAGCTGTACTCCAATGGCACCTCATAACTTCTATTTTCTGTTGGGATATCTACAATGTAACTGTGAGGTTAACCCCAAGTTAGGGCAGAAGATGGCTTTGTTCCTTCAAGTACCATAGGCATGGGGACATGACAGGCAGGTTACTGTGTTTCTTTCCAAAGGCCAATTGTATGACATTATTAAGTTAAGGAATTTAGGAATGTCTTGCAGATTTTCATTATTTGGACTTTTGAAATAGTTTGCCTTACTCCATTTGGAGAAAGTCACCTACACAGAAGTCTATGAAACACAAGAAAATGACAGAGACAGTGAGGTCCCTGGAGCTGGCCTCACTTTTTCAGGTCGCACTGCATAGAGCCTGTTGACCACTGACGGTGATGGTGGTCGGGGGACAGTACCACTGGGTTCTGCTTTTCCTCTGACAAGGCATCTGATCTCAGACAAATCACAGTCTATCTGAGTCTCATATTTTTCACCCAAAAAATATGGGAGTTGGACTAGATGTCTACATTCCTTCTAGCCCTAACATTATATCAACATCATTATTTGTATTCTTGATCTGACCCTTCACGTCCTCCAGGGACCCTAAATGCAGGAAATGAAAATTGGACAGGAAGTTAGGAGTCCTGTTCTCTTAATAGTCAGTGGAGTGATGATAGTCACCTCATACTCTCTGGGCCTTGACTTCCTCTTTTGTAATGAAGTTCAGTGAAGAGCAAACGAGGCAAATTCTTTGCCCAGAGAGTAGGTCTGTGGGATGTGGGGGAGAATGCACAGGGCAGATGATGTCAATGTCCTTTCCACTTCTTGAATTCTCTGAGTCATCTTAGACACTCTGTCCACCATTAGTCAACCAAAGCTGAAATTAGAAGATTTCATGAAATCTAAATTCCTGTTTTTTGTTGTTCTATGTTAGTTTTATTTTTTGTTTTTGTTTTTGTTTTTGTTAGCAGCTCTTCACAAGTAGAAAGAAAGGCTGGCTGGTAAGAAGATGATGACTCCTAAAATATTTTAAAAATCAGTCTCCTGATATCATATAAGAGGACTTCTTATAAACCCAGGAATCAAAACAATTCACAGAAGAACAGAATTGCACTGCAGAATTGTGTCTTATCTGTCTCTACTGCAAGAGCTTAATGAGCAACATTGTTTAATGTTACTTTAAATTCTAGCCTTTATTTGTTAAGAAAAACAGAGAGCAGAAAATCCCATATTGGGTTACTATATATTATTAGTCTTATTGATTGCTACTTCTTAGAATCACAAGAACAATTAATCTTAGTGATCAAAGAAAGGTGGTGCATTGCTATTTACCACTGCGTAATATGTATGAATGCAATTAACTGCCCCTCCCAGCTCAGAGAACCCTGCGGGTTAGGAAGGACATGTCATTGTTTTCTGTTTAGTAGACATCTATTGGTATAGAAGAAATCGAATTATCTTCTGTTCACATTTCAATTAAGTAGCAAGGAAGATAAACAAATAAAACTAAGTATAGCTTTGCAGAAAAAACTCTTTTCAGTTGTCTTCTTCAAAATTTCCCAAGCTCAGGCTGCTGTAAGAAATATGAACTAGAATACTTTCTTCCAAGTTGTGTATATCGAGAGGCCACTAGCTTCCATTTTATAGATTATCTGCAATCAGCTCAATTGAGTCATTAATGGGTAGAGGCATTGTAGCTGTGTATGAATAAGAAGAAGAATGTGTGAATAAAACTGATAGGCTATGACTTTTAAAAACATAGTATTTATCCTTATGAATTCCTTACGATTCCTCAGTACACAGTATGTTTGGCCCCAAGGAATTCTTGTTGTTTCTAACACAATTATTAATTCTCTGTTGTTTCTGTCTTGACACATGCAATATCAAAGTATGAATAGCTAGAAGTGTCTTTATTTTTTTCTTGATAATGCTTTACTGTTTATAAGTACATAAAACACATCCAGGGGCCCAGTGAGATTTCGTAGTCATTATTAATGATAGGAAGGTTGATATAGAAAGGGCTTCTCCTATTAAATGCTTTGGTGAAAGATGGTTTTTAAAATTTTTTCTTGGAATTTTTTCTTAATGCAAGGGCCATTCCTTCAATATGTTTATCCAATATATTTAGCCTCTTGCCAATCCCTGTTCAAGTTGCTATATTTGATGCTAATGTTTATCCACTTCCCCTTCACATATTTGACAATTCTAGAAGATAACAGCAATGAATAAAACTGTCCTCATGGAGCTTACAGACTAATTACATAAAATAAGAGCTGAAGCTGATGGCACAATGAAAAACTAGGAGCATTTCATTTGTAAGCTCTTTTTATTTATTTATTTTACTTTAAGTCTGGGATACATATGCAGAACATGCAGGTTTGTTACATAGGTATACATGTGCCATGGTGGTTTGCTTCACCTATCAACCCATCATCTAGGTTTTAAGCCCCATATGCATTAGGTATTTGTCCTAATGCTCTCCCTCCCCTTGCCCCCAACCCCCCGACAGGCTTGTGATCACACACTGGGGCCAGAAGTATCTTTAAATAGCGTTCTGGTATTCTTAAAAAGTTAAATCAATAATTCAATTATTCTTAGGGTTTCAAAAATATAAACTTTCTAAAGACATCACCTTTTGTTTTAAAAGTATAAACTTATTACAAAAAAAGAAAGAAAAGAAATAGTGATTTACTTAAGAAAGAAAGCTGACTTGGGTGCTTTAGTAATAAATGTAACTGTCCTTGAATGAAGAAAAGAATATATTTCTGAAGATTTCCACTTTATAAGCTTCATTTCTTTTTCTCAAGTACTTTCTTCAGAGATTTATGATTAAATCTCTTCAGAATCCCTGATTAATTTGCTTCAGAAGACATCAGAAGCCAGGTAAATGGAGAAGTGGAAGGAATATCTTGCCAGAAGTACCTAGGTCTTCTCTGCGTTGTGTCAAATCAGCCAAGTGAGTCATGTGTTTTAAACCTTGGTGTTTGGCTACTGCAGTATAAAAGAATTATCATGAGCCTTGACTGAGGGACCTTAATAGGGCCTCTGAGGCATCATCCGGAGGGCAAAAACACCTTTGAAGAAAGGGGCATAAGCTCATTTAGAACATTCTGAGAAGTCTCAGTGGATATAAACTAGTGTGCCTGGTAACCCTTATATTGCTAGACTGTGGGGCACTTGGGAACACTTACAATTTCTACAATAATTGCAATAGTTATTTCCTTGATTTTCCGGTCCTTTCCCCAGAATTCTCATGGAGATCCTAGCACTCTCCTTTCTTTCTCTCTCACTGAGAGAGCCCTGGGGACCCTGTGTTCTTTCTCAGTGGCTGCTACTTAGATCACCCCCGCCAGTCACTGTTATTGCTGCTGCTGCTACTTCCATTCAGTAGTCTTGTTGCTCTCTCTCCCTATCAGTACTTTGACTTGCTGTCAGAACTTCTGCTGTTGGTACCAACAATGTTGGAGGGAAGTATTTCCATTACCAATTAATGCTTTCTGGACCTCCAAGGGTCAAATTTTCTGCTTTATCTTTACTAATACCACATTAGGAATTTTGAACATGATTGCCAAAGCCCAAGAGTAACACAGCAAACATATTCCTCGCCGGTGATTGCTCAGCAACACAAAATGAGCACATGTTTGCCATATTTTGACAGCCTAAGATCCCTACCTTCTCTATATTATACATCTGCAGCCTCTCCTCCTAGCCTCCCTTTTGATGTGAGTGTGCTAACATCATCAACCTGAAGTTCAGGCTCAAAGTTTCCTTCCCCAAAGCCCAGATAATCTTTCCTAAAGAACTCTGGGAGGTACTGTCTGAGTCTCCAGACTCTCCAAGACAAATATAATGATTAGAATTCATATTAATTTTTTATTTCTTCTGTAACAAATTACTACATATGTAGTGACTTGGAACAACACAAATTTATTATTTTATATTTTGTTGGTCAGAATTCTGGTGTGGGTCTCATTAGACTAAAATCAAGATACCAGCAGTCTGTTTCTTTTTGGAGGCTCCAGGGGAGAATATTGTTCTCAGGTTGTTGGCAGAATTCAGTTCCTTGTGGTTGGAGGACTGAGGTTCTCATTTTCTTCCTGCCTGCTGAAAGTCATTCTTAGCTTCTAGAGGACACACATTCTTTGACTCATGGCCCACTTCCTCCATCTTCAAAGGGAAAGTATGCTCCATGTTAGAATTTTTTGATTAATATATTGAGATAAAGAAAAAAATAGATATTTATTAGGTCATTAAATGAAGAAGTCTAGGTGGCTTCAGGCACAGGTTGATCCAGGGGCTCAAACAGATCTTCAGGAATTTGCCTCTTTTCATCACTTGGTGCTCCTTTTCTCTGTGCTAGTTACAAATTCAGGTAGGTTATCTCTTTGTCTGTAGGCTTTTGCCTCATAATTCAATTAACTCCAGTGGAAAGAAAGGTTCTTTTCTTGTGCGTTCCATCAAAAGTTTGGGGAACAATTCTTTTACCCTGCAAGGTTATAGGATCATCTTGGAAACAGTCACCTTGTGCCAGGGTAATACAGTTCTTTGATTGGCTAGAACCAGTCAAAATCCAGACTCAAAATCCTAACCAAAATTCCCAGGTCTGGAGCCAGAAGATGGGGTAGACCCATTTTAGTCATCTGGATTGAGGGTGCATAGAGGTGCTATTTGTTACCTAAAGTGGGTGTGAATGCTAAACAGGCAAGAACAACAGATGTCTACCATTGCTTCTTGGAATTTTGGGGAAACATCACATAGAGATGTAATATCTGAAGATAAAAATATAAGTTGCAGAAGTAAGAGAAAACAGAAGTAGTAGGTAGTCTTTAGAAAAATGCACATTATAAATTATCATGTGAATAAAACAAAGTGATTTTATCTGTCACGTAAATATTACACACCCTTCCATTATCTATCTGTTCAACTTCAAGCAAAGTATTTAATCTCAAGTTTCTCATATGTAAAGTAAAGATAATATCAATTACCTTTTGGAGTTTTTGCAAGGACTCGAGATGATGCTTGTAAGGAATGCACTTCTGTGTCTGGCATTGTAGTTGGTGTTCAACGAATGACAGCTATCATTATCATCATGGTTATTATTTTAATGAATCTCAGCTTTTCTCATTCCTGAAGAACAGTTTGAACTCACCACACTTCTATATCTGTTTCCTTGAGGGTAATTAAGCTACTTATAATGGCCTTGCTCTAATTGTCAGACTTGAAATAAAATTTTTATCAATTTGCTCTGAAGCCATTAGGCCTTTATTTACTGATTCAGCTCTAAGGAAAACCCCAAAGGTCTTAAACAGAGCAATGCTGATTGAGGTTAATTTTACTTTCACATAAACCAAAGGCCTTAAAGTGAGGTTGGACTGGCAATGTTGCTGACATGAAATTCACGTCCTTCTGAGGTGTTCTGTCACTGCTGCTGTTCATCAAAATCCAGTTTTATTTTATCAACCAAGAAGCATATGATTCTGAAACTATATATCTCTCTTCTCAATTCCAGTTCTTACAGAATGGTTTCTCCTACTTAAAAGTAGGATTGCTAGGGCCTGAGGCATGGTCTGGGTAGCAGGCTGCTGGAGTGGGCATCAAGATGGAGTCTGTGTGGAGATTAGGCCCATGCAGATCAGGGGACGGGGTGGGCAGGAAGTGCTGTGGATTCAAGTGCTGCGAGATTCGCTCAGGATTCTCCCCAAGGGGGCTAGTTATTGGGCAGATAATGGCACAATTTAATCCATATTCCGGTAGAGAGTGGAACTGGAGGTCTTGACACACTTCCTGTCCTTATCCTGATGTTCTCAGGGTCAAGAAAAGGCTCAGGCCTGTGGGGACCCTGTAGTACACACTGAATGTTAGTTCCTATGACTGTAATAAGTTTTCACAAATTTGGTGGCTCAAAGCAACACAGAGTTATTATCTCACAGTTCAGGAGTCAGAAGTCTAAAATGAGTTGGCAGGGCTGTGCTCCTTCTGGAGGCTCGAAGAGAAAAATTGACTTCCTTGCCTTTTCCAGCTGTATTCATTGGCTGTGGCCCCTTCCTGCCCACTCCATCCACAGCACTTCCTGCCCACTCCATCCCCTTATCTGCACCTTCAAATCCCTTTCTCTGTTGAGCTCTGCTTCCATCATCACATCTCCTACTCAGACTCTCCTGCCTCTTTCACTTACAAGGACCCTTGTGATTATATCGTAATGACAGTCCAGCATAATCTCCCATCTCAACATCCTTAATTTAAGCCCATCTGCAAATCTCTTTATCACGTTAGGTAACATCCACAGGTTCTGGGGATTACAATCTGGTCATCTTTGGTGGGAGGGCATTATTCAGTCAACCACACCCCATCCCAAATATAGGCTCAGCTATTTAATTCAAGGGCAAAAATATTAAATTCCCCTTGCAAGAGAAACCAAGAAACATCACAGAGAAATAATAATTTTTTGCACAGAAGTCGTTACTAGTCCCCAGGATCCTCAGTGTGTGCTTACAACACACAACAGCAGGGATATGAGTCTTATTGTGACATATTAATTTTTAGGACATTTTCCTTTTTTAAAAAAGGTCTTATCAATGCCCAGAGAGGATTGGCTGATATGAAGAAACAAATTGGTAGATATGGTAGATATGAACAAGAGACTATTTTTTAAAACTTTTATAAAATCATGGTTATTTATGGGCATAAAATGAATCTTCCATTTTACCCAGACCTCAGTTAGGGGTTGTATTAGTTTACTAGGCTTCCCTAACAAAGTACCACAGACTGGGTAGTGAAACAACAGAAATGTGTTTCCTTACACTTCTACAGGCTAGAAATCTGAGATCAAGGTGACAGTAGGATTGGTTTCTTTCCAGGTCTTCCTCCTTGGTCTGTCCTCTCCTTGTGCCTTCACCTGGTCTTCCCTCTGTGCCTGTCTGCATCCCTAATCTCCTCTTCTTATAAAGACATCAGTCTTGTTAGACTAAGGCCCACCCATATGACCTTGTTTTAAACTATTTGCCTCTTTTAAAAACTTATCTCGAAATATAGTCACATTTTGAGATCCTGGGGGTTAGGACTTTACCATATGAATTTTGCAGGGACACAATCTAGCCCAGAGCAGTGATCAACCAAATTTACTGTCTTACATTATCTTTTGGTGGAGTAATTTGTTCCTGCTGCAACTGTCTCTCTTCCTCGCAAACCCAGAGAGAAGGGTTGACATAGGGGTTAGCTTCCTTGCAGACACCAGGTGTTATTTCCAGACCTTGCCATCATCAGCCAGTGCCATAGTGAAACCAAGATAAGATCAATTAATTCTGGGTCCATGTCTTTGTCAAAGTTACACAGAACCTTGGGGATTTAGAAGTTATCACAGAAAGTTATTTAAAGCTATCCAAGCTGTTATCTGTTCCTTTTTTAAGTGTTCATATTAACTCACAATTCTGTTAAAACGGGGGTTATATTCTTTGGCTTTTCCTGTTTCAGTCATTTAATTTTCATATGTAGTGGGGTGGTTACTTAAAATTATTGCTTAGAAATGCAGAAATATAGTTTTATTTTCTGTACCTGAACTCACCTTACCCATAAGACCTCTGATTCTGGTCAAGAATGAGGAAAAACTTTAAGTTGCCCGTTCAAGTTTTCTCAGTCATTTTCGGTTTAAATCTTCCTCTTTTCCAGGGTGAGTCAGTGTTTCTGCTTCCTTCCCTTCCCCAGGATGAGATCTAGACCCTGAATGGAGAGGCGAGGGGGAAGGCTCCTAGTCCTCCCTCTGTTGTCTTGTCCTTTCTATTCCCTGAGATGTCTCATGCCCAGGGTTGAATTTGCTATGTAGTTAATGAAGCTCAAACTTCAGAGCTTCTCCTTTGCAGGCCTTCCTCTGAGCTCTTAGAAAGGGCCTTAATGATGGATTCCTATGGTCATAGTTTTTGTCACGTTAATGAAAGTAAAACACTTCAACAGCAATTGATTGAGACACTGTTGCCTGCCACTTGACTTCCCCTCCACTAAAGCTGTCTGCCATATAAAGTGGCTTTGGAGTGGCCGTAAGAATATTGGTCATCTAAGGGGAAGGTGACAAACCTCAGTTTGTATTTAGTGTGATGTATTTATATGGTTTGGAGTCACTTCCACAAATGGTTAAGTTATATGCTGGACAACCTTTGGTAGTAATGGCTTCCAAAAATATTCTTGTCACTTGCTGTACCCACTTACAATGTGCAGGGCTGGAGTGCTATCATGATATACTGCCTAGAATGCCTGGCACCAGAAGTGTGTTGGGAGTGGAGGAGAAAAAGGCTTGGGAAAAGCCTATAGAAGTTTCCTCCAGTCATCAGAGGGGTGAAATAGTAAACAGAGGATTCAATTCTCACTGACAACTGGACATACAGAAGTTTCCTCAGGCCAGGAATATACTGAATAATGTAGCATATATACTTGTAAATGTCATGCATACATATATTTTTTCTGATGGAAATTATGCAAAATAGAACTTAGAATTTCTGTGTTTGTAGGACACAGGTACATCTGTGCATGAAGTCATGGGTTTTATGCTTTCCAATTATCAATAATAAAAAGTCAATCAAGCATACTTGAGGAAAATGTGAATTATCTACCTTTTTATCCTCTCTATAGAAAATATTACAAAACAATTATCCTATGAAGAGGTGATCAAAGAGTATGCAGTCCAAAATGTAGGAAAAATGTCTTACTAAGGTATAAACAAATAATTAATAAAAATGTTATCTAGATTTTGTGAGACTTGTAGTATTTGTAAGCTTTCTTATATTTTTTTCTCTATTAAAAAAAAATTCACTTTTGGCCAGGCACAGTGGCTCAGGCCTGTAATCTCAGCACTCTGGGAGGCTGAGGTGGGAGAAGTGCTTGAGGCCAGGAGTTCGAGGCCAGTCTGGCCAACATGGTGAAACCCTGTCTCTACCAAAAATACAAAAACTAGCCGGATATGGTGGCACATGCCTGTAATCTCAGTTACTCGGGTGGCTGAGGCAGGAGAATTGCTTGATCCTGGGATGCAAAGGTTGCAGTGAGCCGAGATGGTGCCACTGCACTCCAGCTTGGGCAACAGAGACTCCATCTCAAAATAAATAAATAAATATTCACTTTCATTCTTAGAATGATATTGATCATTTTGTATACTTTTTTCTTAAAGTGGCCTCCTAAAATTCTATATGCTTCAGGCCCTGTGGATCTTACCTGGCCTTCTCTATGCCTCTTGATCAGTGAACATTGAGTGCTGACACAAGGGGCCCTGGACCCCAGCCTGAGGCAGCTTATTCTGCATTCTCAGTGTCCAGACCCCAGAAATGTCCTGGCCAGTGTTCCCTGAGCAGGAGCATTTCAGAACACCTCTGTCCATTTCTGAATTTCAGAAGCACTGGATGCCTCAGTGACATTCAGGATGCCCCACTGGCATCACGGGCATGTGAAGTGTGGGGAGCAGAGGGCACGCGACTCCAAGGCCCCTTTCAGAACAAACACCCCACGCCAGTGCACCCACCAGTGTTGGGATGTGTGCGTGCATGTGTGCTTGGTGGGGGTGGAGGTGGGCCTAAGGACCTTTGTGAAGTCATCTATTTTTTTTTTATTAAACAGGGCTGCACTTCATTCAGTGACGAAAGGAAGACGTGATGAGATGGGACAACCAGGTTTTGAGAGAATGCTTGACTTGGCATAAGACCAATTTTATTAGCCAAGAATGACAAGACACATTGAACAGAGGTGTCAGACTTGTGAGAAGTATATAAAATAGGATTCCAAAGCAGAGAGGGCAGTTGAACGAATGAAGAAAGTGACCTCTGCTCTGAAGTCAGCTTGTGCACTTAGTTTCTGTCCCTGGAATCAGACACAGTGAGAATCAGAAACATTTCCTTAATACAGCAAAGTAATCACAACATGATGCCCAAGAAAGAGACTGGCACCACATGGAACATTCTATAAGTGTGAGGCCATCTTGACCCAGCCTCCTTTGCTTTGGAATTTCTAAACATGTCAGGAAATTTGTTGATCTACCCCCTCCAAGTGTTTGGATCTCGGAAGGCAGACCAGTCTTATTCCTACTGACACTCTCCAAGCACCTCCTCCCAACTTCAGGACCAGCTTTTATAGCACTGTGGTGTAATTTTTAAGAGCACAAAATGGAGATAAATCAAAGTGGTCCAATACCAACACCATGAATTACAAGCTGTGTAATCTTGAGTAAATTACTTAACCTCTCTGAGCTTCAGTTTTCTTATCTGTACAAAAGATTGCTGTAAGGATGAATGAGTTCATATATGTAAACTACTTGGAATACAAAATATGTATGTTTTAACTGTTATAATCCCCTCACTGTAGGACATGCACTTGTACCATATATTCTTCCTCTTTTCTGGCCTATGATTTAGAGTGAAAACAATGTGGTCAGGCCTTCAAGCTTTGTTCCCTAATGTTTAAAAAGAAGCTTTTGGGATTTAGAACATTCTTTTCTATCTCAAAGACTGAGTAGTTACATTCAAAAGCCCAGATTTCAGGGCTATTGTTCCTGAGATGGACTTCAAGTGCCTATTTTGGAAGTCTAGAAATGAACATAGATTTTTAGCTTCTGCGTGCATCCCAGCTATAAAGATACTAAACTTCTCTGAGGCAATAGGCACTGCTGGCTAAAAAGAGAAAGATCATGAGCAAAGATGAAAAAAGGGGCAGTAATTAAAGTAATAATATATTTCAAAATGCTACACAAATAATAATGAAGGAGAACAAACATTTAAAATTTCCTTTAAAAGTGCCAGGTGTCAGGCCATGAAATATATATAAACTTCATCTTTGCAACCACCTATTATATGCATAGTTTTATTTTACTGGTGAGTAAACGAAGGTTTGTAGAGTTTTGTTACTGCTCAAACAATACAGTGTGATAAGGGGTAGGCTATGATTTGAGCTGACGTTTTGCTTCCAAGGACACGGTCTTTCCACTCGTTGTTCCTGGTACCCCACCCCCTGCTCTCTAAAATTTAATTCTCTGAAAGAAAAGCATCTGACTGGAAAACAGCATTTTCTATCAAGAGATTTCCATCATCAGCTGGGAATGTATCAATTGTGGGGAGCATCTTCCTGAACCTTCAAAGCCTTTTCTCTGTCAGAAGAGAAATCTCAACCTCATCAGAATCTAGGGTACTGGTTCCATCTGCAAGTTTGACATCTCAATGTGATTAGGTAGGTAGTCAATTCTAATTAACTCTCCTCTTCCAGCCAATTCTGCCAATACATTGGTTCTATTTTAAAAATTCAGACAATTCTTGTGGAAAAACATCATTCCATCTCTCTCCAAATACTTGTTACTTTGACTCTAAGACCTCATCTTTATTCTTATCACAAATTCCTCAGAAGAACGGTTAAATTGATTATGCATAAGATGGTGACAAAGAAATTTTGTTTACTTCAGAATGGAAATACAGACATCAAATATATGAACTCGTTGCTCTGGCTAACATTGAAAATCAGCACCATACAAACTGTCATATGATTTCAATCTTAATCCCAGGTGAGATTGTGAGGAAGACAAAATTTGCTTTTTATGGCCCACTCCCTCCCTTCCCTCCACCTGCCACCTTGCCTTTATATCTCACCAACGATGTTGTATCTAACATTCACATTCATTCTTTACTTCTTTCTTCCAAGACCTGGTTGCAGGGAAGAGTATGGTAGACTCACTCATGCTAATGCCGTTGGATCCCAGCTTGCCTCTTATAGCTTCTTTCTCAGTTTCCCATATGTAGATTCATAAACATGCTTGCTTCCCTCTCACCTTCCATCCTTCTTTTAGGATTGTTTCTCCTCTTGTCTTCAATTTAATTATAAGGGAGTTAGGAAGCCTCTAAATTCTTTCCATTTTACCACATGGAAGGGTTTAAAAATAGATGATTCTGCTCACAGTCACACAATCATTTATCAATGTTCTGCAAGTTCTGGTTAAGGTAGTAAGACTTAAATAGAAGTAAGTTGTGCATAAGTTTTGTAAAAGTGAAGACAACATTTTTTTTATTTGTAGGTAGGAAGATATACCTAGAAAATACATGTGACTAAAGTCAAAAAGTATTATGATAAAAAAGTTTAGTAAAATTATATGTATGAAAATCATGTAACAATAAATGTGGGTTATTCCAAAAATTCCCATTTAGAAAATATAATGAAAGATGAGCTCATTCACGGTATTGGCAAAATACTTGAAATAAGATAGAAATAAACGTATCAAGAACCATAAGGTTTATATGAAGCTAACTAATTTTTTTTAAATGAATAGGCAATATACCTAGAAGAGAATCGGAGAAACATGGCTTCCTCTATATATGAGGATTCTGTATATGCCAATTTTTTTTCTTCTAAATAAATATATACACAAACATAATTCCAACAAATATTCAGATGGGATTAAAAATCAACTTTGCAAATGCTTACAATGTTTATCCAGAAAAACAGATAGACAAAAACAAATAAATAAAAAATAAACAAAAAAATAAATAACAAAAAAACAAATAAAAAATAAAAAATAAACTAAATTTATTGCTAATAAAACTTAGTAAGGTTATAAAAGTTTAAATAAAGTATTGCATGCCAAGAATTTGAGATTGATTAGGATTTTAATAAATCACTACTTTTATATACGTTCATTTAGTACTTACACGTTATAGAATTTCCGTTAAGTCTTAGTAGCATGTTAAAATGAAGTCATGCTAACATTGTTTTCCAAGTTATAGTGACTTAGCCTCTGCCTTTGATACTGAAGGTCTTCTTCCATCCCCTGGCAAAGTCACCAGTAGTTATTTCTGGGATGTCAGGGTGTGTCACCTGGTGGCTCGTGTTCTTCACTGAGTCACATCACCACGACCTCTGCTGCTGGTATTCTTTATAGGAATCCCCCAAGGTGGCTTCTCTGAGCCCACAGACTGCCAAAGCCCCCTCAGTGAGCAATGACAAAGTTGGGAGGACCCAGTGCAGTAACATTTATGCCCACAGCCTCAGGTGTATTTCATGAAAACATCTCCTGACCCTTCTGACCTTAATTCCCCTCATCATCAGGGCATCAATTTAGCTCCTCAAGCCAGAGAGAGATAGATCTGAGTCATCTTGTCTTACGCAGTCCTGTTCCTCCATCTTTCTTCTTTATTTCTTCTTCAACTTCTCCATTCTATTTCAGCCCCAAATAAAAACCCCCATGCTCATCAAATCGTGCAAATAAATTAGGTTACTAGTTCATCAAACAGGCAGGTTCTGATTCCAAGTTTATGCTCAACAGAGGCACTGTGCTGTAAAAGAATAATCTTAACTGTATTATAAATCACTTATAAACAGTGAGTTATTATAGTGTATTAGAGGCTAGGCAGAGTACATAGGTAAAAAGTCATGGTTTCTGTCCTCAAAGAAACTTATTGTCCAGGAGTCACAGTTATTATTTCACTAGGATATCAGGAGAGGGCATATCAAGTGCGTTTCTAAAATACATAAACTATATTTTTCCTACTTTACCAAATTAAATGTGTTATAAAAGAACAATTAAATTGAGTCTGTCATGACTTGTTCTCAGTTAAGCTCCTAGAATTCTTTACTCCATTCTTTATGTTCTTAAAATTCATTTGATTGTATTTCTGAGAATCCACATCAAACTACAAGAATGCGGTAAAAAAATCAAAACAAGGCTATTGCCAGTCTTTTAGCAGTTTTCCTGTTCTCTGCAGATCTTCAAAAGTGTTTCACTGTCTGCCACACTCTGTTAATACCTTTGAAATGATATACTAGACAAGATGCCAGCACTTTGAAAATAATCATGTGATTTCTTACATGATCTCCACCTCTATTTTAGACTGACATGACATAGTTATCAAATAAACATCTCATTGATCATAGACTTTTAACTGGCAGTTGTGTTATGTACAAAGGAAAACTGGTAAACAAAACACGGTCTTATTCAAAGCTGTCTTGGTTTAGTGGAGAAGATAGGTTTAATAAACAAATAATGAAGATGATGATAACGATGATAGTGACTATGATATGATATGATAATGATAGAAGTACAATAGGCAGAAGAATACTTTTTATTCAATAAGTGGTGCTGGGCTAATTGGCTATTTAGCTGATCTCTATCTCACACCACACCCCAAATCAATTTTGGATGAATTATAGATTTAAATGTGAAAGTTAAAGCATAACATCTTCATACCTTGGGTAGAAAAATATTTCATAATCCCCTCTTGAAGCAATGTGCTCAGGACAGCATTCTTTTAAACCACATATTGTGAGTACATGGAATTCTACAATGAGCCTCATGCCCAGCCCTATCTATTTTCTTGGGAGTCAAGAGACAAGTTTCAATTTCTGCCACCAAGGTTGCAGAATGAAATGGGTACAGTTTTAAAGGGAAGTGATCCCCAACCACATGTGTAAAATGGCTTATTATTATCATTTTATCTCCCCTCAAGTATAAAAGAGTCAGAAGAGCCAGTATGAAAACTGGAAAGAGTCAGGGTGCTCATTATCCACAGTAGCTTTTTTTGTGTGCAGCTGAAAGAGAGATGCAAGAGCCGGAATCAAAGATTTGTAACCACGAGAGATGAGACTAGCTGTGATTCAGGGAGAAAAAGCAAGAGTTTAATGAGCAGTGCAAATGTAAGCACAATTTGAAGGGAATTGGGTCAAGGATTGAAGTATGGGCTATGTGGGGCAGATTAGGAAATGAAGTCATTTAATAAAATGTGTTGGATGTCGTTTTATTTTGATGTCCTGTTAAAACATCAGGTAAGGTTGGACCTTATTCACACCAAGTGTGTATCCCTCCTGTTCTCTCTCTTTCTTTCTTTATTTCTCTCTTTCTTGAAGGAAGATGTAAAAACTTACTTCCATCAGAGATCCAGTTCTAGTCAGGGGTATAGCTGTTTTCCAGACAAAGCACCTTCCCAAAATTCTTGCTATTTTCTTCTAACGTTGAACTGGGTTGGTCGACCTAAAAGACTCTTAAATCTTTTCTTTTCAACTAATATTAATTCCTGAACCAAAGTGATCTGTCAGCCAGTTACATCTGAATTACCTGGGGTAATTGTTAATTAAAATGCAAATTCCTGGTTTTGCTTGAGACTCCCTGAATCAGAATCTCCTAGAAGTAGGTTCTAGGAATCTGTATTTTAAACAAGCCCTGTTGATGATTCTTAGGAATTCTCAACTAGTAAGGAACTCTCCCAAGTGTCTTTTCTCAGCTCTTCTTTTCTCTTGGCTTGGGCTCATCTCTTTAAGTCTCTAGAGCTGAAGATATTTTCTAGGCAGAGGATACACCACCAACAGGAAAACAAAACAAATAACTAATATGATCTTCTTAAAAATGTCAGACTGTGTTACTTTCCAATTTTAAAATATTCAGTGGCTTCCCAATGAACTGGGAATACAATATTTCCATGGCTACATGCCCTTCATTTCTGATCTCATTCTCTACTACTTCATCTTTTCTGGCCTGATATCCTCTGATTATGCTGGCATAGGATCAGATCCTTTAACCTGCCAGGATTGTTTCTGTCCGGGAGCCTTTGAGGTTACTCACTCTCTGCATGGAAAACATTTTCCATGTCTTCCTACTGCTGGCATCATCATCATTCAGATCTCAGATGCTGCTTTACCTCAAGAAGCCCCTGACTTCCCTTTCTTGTGTGTGCGTGTACATATACATGTGTGTGCTCCACTTGTCATTCTCCAGTACATCAGACTATTTAAAATTTACTTTCTGGCATTTATCACTTCTGAAATCAACTAATCAATCAATTAATCACTTTTTCTTTCTATCCTTTTTAAAGAAAACTGACCTGTCTCCCTGCTTCCCAGCTGCAAATGAATGAAAGAAGAATCTTCATATATGTTAATCATTGCTATGCTTTTAGTGCCTAAAGTGGTGCTTGGCACACAGTAAGTTTCTATAATTACTTAGTGAATGTTGAGTTAAAAATACCAAAAGTTCAAGACATTAAAGGATTCTTATGGTACCCAAATCAACCCTCAAACCATAATGCCTTCAGTTCTCCTAATTTTATAATTGCTCCCTTTTCTACCCAACGATCTTACCTCCAGTCTTGTAATATCTGCCCGTAATTACGTATGAGGGAAGAAGGACAAAGACCTAGATAATATAATGTGTAATTCGGCAAATGAGACCTTACACTTTAATATGGAAGCTAAATGGCAAATAGTGTCAATGTAATTCCCTACATATAAAGAAAAGATATGGACCTTAAATTAATTAATCAATTAAATCATTAGTTCAACAAGTATTTATTGCTAACCAATTCTGTGCCAGGCCCTCTCCTAGGCGGTTAGAATACATGAGTAAACACAACAATGACTCCTACTCATGGAGCTTACTCATATTCCTTCTTGGTAGCTAGAACATGAGAATCTTCAAGTTATGGAGAGCTTGTCTTCTAGCCTGATTTATCTTCCTCAAATGTTTATTTGTAAATAATAGTTTTTGCTTAGAAACCTCAACTCTTCTTAGATATGCAAATAAGTTGCTCTGAAATACACATTTCTAATTATCTCCAAAATATCATGCATTATAAATTGAGGCAGGATGCGGTGGCTCATACCTGTAATCCCAGCACACTGGGAGGCTGAGGCAGGAGGATCACTTGAGCCCAGGAGTTCGAGACCAACCTAGGCAACATAGCAAGACTCCATCTCTACAAATAATCTAAAAATATTAGCTGGGCATGATGGCATGTGCCTGTAGTCCCAGCTACTCAAAATTCTGAGGTGGAAGGAGCCTGGGAGATCCAGCCTGGGTGACAGAGTAAGACCCTGTCTCAAGAAAAAAAAAAAGGGAATATATATACCTATATTATTTCCAACAGAAAATTATCTGCATAGCAATAGTTTTAGAAGTTAAGAAAGTAGATGAACTCAGAGGAAGAGTAGATTACAGCAATTAGGGGATAAAAATGCCATTCAGTTATTAGGTCATTGTTCTTCTTTATTCGTTGACAATATCTATGAGTTTAACATTAATGTTAGAAAAAATTGCTTGAACAAAACTCATAACTGAACTTCAATTCCATAGAGAGGTATTTATGTATATAAAACGATATATATTTATGTATATAAAAGATACATAAAATGACATTTTGAAAATTTAATTCTATCTCATCTGCAAATCTGAGGAATTAATACAAAATTTGAAATAAAGATTAAAATTCATTAAACATTTTTATCAACATATAGAAGGATAGATTTTTAAAATGCCAATCATTTAAACAAACCAAAGCACACATCCTTTATACACTAGGAAGACATGATCAAGCCATCTTTTATTCCTCTAGGTAGAAGAAAGGACCACTCTCCTTGCCTTCCTCAGGGTTGTACAGAACACTTATAAATATCTATTTTTCATTCTGTTACAGAGAGTAATATGCAAATGGGAATGGGATGAGGTATAGAAAAATGGGAACTGTCAGTGCTTTTTCTCTAGGTACCAGTGGCTGGATGATTTTGCACTTGTGCCCTTTTAATAAACAACTCAAAAGCTGAGAAGAGGGGAGGACAGAACAAACATTGTTATGTTAATTAATTAATTTTAGTTTTAATTTTGTTTGAGACCGAGTCTCCCTCTGTCACCCAGGCTAGAGTGCAGTGATGCAATCTTGGCTTACTGAAATCTCTGCCCCCTGAGTTCAGGTGATTCTTGTGCCTCAGTCTCCCGAGTAGCTGGGATTACAGGTGCATGTCACCACACTTGGTTAATTTTGTATTTTTTGTAGAGATGGGGTTTCGTCATGTTGTTTAGGCTGGTCTCAAACTCCTGGCCTCAAGTGATCTGCCAATCTTGGCATCCCAAAGCGCTGGCTGGGATTACAGGCATGAGCCATACCTAGCCGAATTAATTTATTTTTTTATTTTTAATTGACAAATAAAAATGATATGTATTTATCATGTACAACATGATGTTTTGAAATATGTATACATTGTGTAATAGCTAAATCGAGCTAATTAACATACACATTACCACATTCAGTTATCTTTTTTGTTGTTGTTGTAAGAACACTTAAAATTGATCTCAGCAATTTTCAAGAATACAATACATTGATTAACTATAGTTACCATGTTGTACAATAGATTTCTTGAACTTACTCCTTTTGTCTAACTGAAATTTTGAATCCTTTGACCAACATCTTCCCCAGCTTTCTCCCAGCCACTAGTAACCACGATTCCACTCTCCACTTCTATAAGGTCAACTATTTTAGATTCCATATATAAGTGAGATCATACAGTGTTTGTTTCTCTTTGTTTTAATTTCTATTTACTTTATTTATATTGACACTTATTAGATGTACATATTTTTGGGGGTACATGTGATAATTGAATTTTTTTTTTACTATTGAGTTTTTTGAGCTCCTTATAGATTCTGAGTATTTATGAATCCCTTTTCAGATGGCTAGTTTGCCAATTTCTCCCCCATTCTGTGGGTTGTCTCTTCGTTTTGTTGATTATTTCCTTTATCTTCTATTCTGTTCCATCGGTCTATGTGTCTGTTTTTAGGTGAGTATCATGATGATTTGGTTACTATAGCTTTGTAGTATATTTTGAAGTGAGGTAGTGCAAAGCTTCCAGCTTTGTTCTTTTTTCTCAGAATTGCTATGGCTAGGCAGGGTAGTTTTTGCGACATATAAATTTTAGGATTAATGTTTCTATTGCTGTGAAGAATGTCATTGGTATTTTGATAGAAATTGTATTGAATTGGTAAATTACTTTGGGTAGTATTGTCATTTTAACAATATTAATTTTCAATTCCATGAGCATGGAATATCTTTCATTTGTTTGTGTCTTCTTCAATTTCTTTCAACAGTGTTTTATAGTATTTCTTGTATAGATCTTTCACATCTTTGGTTAAGTTGATTTCAAGTATTTTATATTCTTTGTAGCTATTGTAATTGGATTGCTTTCTTGATTTCATTTTTAGATTGTTTGCTATTGGTTTATATAAATGCTACTGATTTTTGTTTTGTTGATTTTATATCCTGTACCTTTGCTGAATTTTTCAGTTCTGACAGTTTTCCTGTGGAGTCTGCACATATTTCTAAATATAAGATCATGTCGTCTGTGTACAAGACTAATTTGACTTCTTTTCCAGCTTGGATGTCCTTTATTTCTTTCTCTTGCCTAATTGCTCTGACTGGGACTTCCAGTATTATGTTGAATAAAAGTGGTGAAAGTGGGCATCCTTGTCTTGTACAGATCTTAGAGAAAATACTTTCAATTTTTCCCTGTCAGTATTATGTTGGCTGTGGATTTGTCATATGTGGCTTTAATTATTTTGCAGTATGTTTTTTCTATGCCCAGTTTGTTGAGGGTTTTTATCATAAAGTGTTGTTGAATTTCATCAAATGTTTTTCCAGCATCTATTGAAACAACCATAAAGGTTTGTTCTTGTTTCTGTTAACATGATGTATCCCATTTACTGATTTGCATATGTTGAAACATCCTTGCATCTCTGGGATGAATCCCACTTGATCATAATGAATGATCTTTTTAATGTATTCTTGAATCGGTTTGCTAGTATTTTGTTGAGGATTTTTGCATCTATGTTCATCAGTGATATTGGCCTGTAGTTTTCTTTTGCGTTGTGTTTTTGTCTGATTTTGGTATTAGGGTAATGCTGGCCACATATAATGAATTTGGAAGTATTCTCTCCTCAATTTTTTTTGAAGAGTTTGAATAGAATTTCTATTAACTCTTAAGTGTTTGGTAGAATTCAATAGTGAAGCCATCACATCCAGGGCTTTTCTTTGCTGAGAGAGTTTTTATTACAGCTTCAGTCTTGTTACTTGTTATAGATTTGTTAAGGTTTTTAAATTTCTTCATGGTTTGATCTTGGTAGGTTGTATGTGTCCAGAAATTTATCCATTTCTTCCAGGTTTTCCAATTTGTTGGCATATATTTCTTCATAATAGAAATTAGTTCTATGTATTTCTGTGGTCTCAGATTTTACGCCTCCTTTTTCATTTCTGATTTTATTTATTTGGGTGTTTTCCTTTTTTCTTAGTCTAGCTAAAGGTTTGTCAATTTAATCTTTTCAAAAAACCAACTTTTTGCTTTGTTGATTTGTATTGTTTACTTAGTCTCAATTTCTTTTATTTCTGTTCTGGTATTTATCATTTCTTGCCTTCTCCTAATTTCGGGTTTGGTTTGTGCTTGCTTTTCTATTTCCTTGAGGTATATCATTAGGTTGTTTATTTAAGTTATTTCAACTTTCTTCATGTAGGTGTTTATTGCTATAAACTACTCTCCCCATAACACTTTTGCTGTATCCCATAGATTTTGGTATGTTTTATTTCCATTTTAATTTGTTTAAAGGCTTTTTACATTTCATTCTTAATGTCTTCATTGATTCATTCGTCATTCAGAAGCATGTTGTTGAATTTCCATGCACTTGTGTAGTTTCTAAGGTCCCTCTTGTTGTTGATTTCTACTTTTATTCCAATGTGGTCAGAAAAGATACTTTATATAATTTCTACTTTTCTGAATTTTTTCAGAGTTACGTTGTGGCCTAAAATGTTGTCTAATCTAGAGAATGTTCCATGTGCTGATGAAAAGAATGTGTACTCTGCAGCAGTTGGGTAAGATGTTCTGTAAAGGTCAGTTAGGTCTTTTTGGTCTGGTATGGAGTTTAACTCCAGTGTTTCTTTGTTGATGTTCTGTATGGATGATCTGTCTCTCACTGAGAGTGAGGTGTTGAAATCCCTTACTAATATTGTATTGCAGTCTTTCTCTCCCTTTAGATCTATTAATGTTTGCGTTATATACTTAGGAGCTCTGATGTTGGATGCGTACATATTTATAATTGTTATATCCTCTTGCTAAATTGATCTTTTTATCATTATGTAGTTACTTTCTTTGCCTCTTTTTCTAGCCCTTGACTTGTAGTCTATTTTACCAGATATAAATATAGCTACTTCTGCTCTTTTTTGGTTTCCACTTGCATGGAATGTCTTTTTCCATACTTTCACTTTTAGTTACATGTGTCTTTGTAGGTGAGGTGAGTTTCTTGTAGGCACCATATAGTTGGGGTTTTTTTTCTTAATCCATTCATCCACTTTATGTATTTTAATTGGAGAATTCATTCTATTTATATTCAGTGTTACTGTCGATAAGCAATACTTATCTTTGATAAGAAAAACTTACTACTGCTATTTTATTCCTCATTTTCTGGTTGTTTTGTAACTCGAGTCTTTTACTTCATTTCTTTCATACTGAAATCTTTTGTGGTTAAGTGATTTTCTTTCTAAGTATGTTTTAATTTATTTAGTTTGTATTTTTAGTATCTATTATAGAATTTTGCATTGCGAATACTATGTGGCTTACAGAAACCATCTCATAGATATAACAAGTTATTTTAAAGAGATGACAATTGATGTGTTTTGCATATTTGTCCTCTCCAAATCTCATGTTGAAATATAATCCCCAGTGTTGAAGGTAAGGCCTGGTGGGAGATGTCTAGATCATGGGGACAGATCCCTCATGAATGGCTTAGTGTCATCCCCTTGGTGATGAGTGAGTTACTCTGAGTTCATGTGAGATCTGATTGTTTAAAAGTATGTAGCACCTCTCCCCTCTTTCTCTTGCTCCTACTCTCACCATGTGACATGCCTGCTCCCCCTTCACCTTCTGCCATGACGATAGGCTTCCTGAGGCCCTCATCAAAAGCTTAGCAAATGCCAGCACTGTGCTTCCTGTACAGTCTGTGGAACTGTGAGCCAATTAAACTTCTTCTCTATATAAATTGCCTGGCCTCAGATATTTATTTATAACAACACAAAAATGGCCTAATACAACAGCTTATCTTAGATCACAAAAAAGATACAAAAAAAAGCAACAACAAAGTTTATTCTTTAGCTGCACCCCAGTCCTTCTCCAGTCCATTTGACTTTTTGTCATCTCAATTTACATTTTTTTTTGAGACAGGGTCTCACTCTGTCATCCAGGCTGGAGTGCAGTGGTGTGATTATGGCTCACTGAAGCCTCTAACTCCAAGGCTCAAGTGTTTCTCCCACCTCAGTCTCCTGAGTCACTAGCACTATAGTGGGTGCGTTCCACCACATCTGGCTAATGTTTTAATGTTTTGTAGAGATGGGGTCTTGCTGTGTTGTCCAGGCAGGTCTTGGCCTTCTGGCCTCAAGCAATCCCCCTGCTTTGACCTCCCAAAGTCCTGGAATTACAGGCATGAGCTACAGTGTCCAGTCTCAATTTATATATTTTTATACTGCCTATTTCTTTTTTTTTTTTTTTTTTTTTGAGACAGAGTCTCGCTCTGTCGCCCAGGCTGGAGTGCAGTGGCGGGATCTCGGCTCACTGCAAGCTCCGCCTCCCGGGTTCACGCCATTCTCCTGCCTCAGCCTCCCAAGTAGCTGGGACTACAGGCGCCCGCCGCTACGCCCGGCTAATTTTTTTTTTTTGTATTTTTAGTAGAGACGGGGTTTCACCGTTTTAGCCGGGATGGTCTCGATCTCCTGACCTCGTGATCCGCCCGCCTCGGCCTCCCAAAGTGCTGGGATTACAGGCGTGAGCCACCGCGCCCGGCCTACTGCCTATTTCTTAATAGGTTGCAGTAGTTAATGTTTTTGATAGATTTGTCTTACAGGCTTCTTACTAGAGTTGTAAGTGGATTTCACACCATAATTACAGTATGGGAGTATTCTGGGGTTGTCTATGTTGTTTTCCAGTGGGTTTTATACCTTCAAATGTTTTCTTTTTACATATTAGGGATTTTTTTCCTTTCTGATTGAAGAACTTCCTTTAGCATTTCTTATAAGATGGGGCTGGTTCTATGAGTTCTGTCAACTTTTGTTTATGTAGAAAAGACTTTATACCTCCTTTATATTTTAAAGATAGCTTGTCTGGATAAGATATTCTTGCATGGCCGTTTTGTTTTTGTTTCAACATTTTGAAAGTGTTGTTCTACTCCCTCCTGGCCTATGTGATTTCTGTTGAGCACTCTGTTGCCAGATGAATTGAAGTTCTTTTGTATGTTATTAGCTTCTTTTCTCTTGCTGCCTTTAGGATCCTCCCTCTCTTTGTCCTTGACCTTTGAGAATTTGATGATTAAACTCTCAAAGTTTAAACATTGTCTGCCTTGGGATAGTCTTGTTGGGGTCAAATCTGTTTGGTGTTCTCTGACTTTCTTGTACCTAGATATTTGTATCTTTCTCGAGTTTTGGAAAGTTGTCAGTTATTATTTCTTTAAATAAGCTTTCTATCTCTTGCTGTTGCTTGGCTCCCTCTTGAATGCCAATATTTTTTAGATTTTTTTTTAGGTAATTTTCTGTATTGTGTAGGCAATCTTCTTTTATTTTTATTCTTTTTTTCTTCTTTGTATTTTCAAATAGCTTGTCTTCGAATTCACTGATTCTTTCCTCTTCTAGATCTAGTCTGCTGTTGAGAGCCTCTAATGAATTTTTCTGTTTAGCAAATATATTTCTCAGTTCCAGGATTTCAGTTTGATTTTTAAAATTATTTTAATCTTTCTGTTAAATTTTTATGATAATTTCCAAATTTCTCTTCTGTGTTATCTTGGAAATCACTGAGTCTTCTTAAAACTGCTGTTTTGAATTCTTGTGTCAGGGAGCTCATATATCACTATCTTGTTAGTGTTAGTCACTGGTTTATTGCTTTGTTTATTTGGGGAGGTCATGATTTCCTCTTTGCTATCGTTTCTTGTAGATGTACATCTATGTCTTTGCACTGAAGGATTATTTATTTATTCCAGTCTTCCTGTCTGGCTTGGTTTGGTTTTTATTGGATATGTTTGCTTAAGAATTATTTAGAATTTACCTGCTGAATTTCTTTTTTTTCTCTCCTAGGTCATGGCCTCCATTTCAGTACTAATGGTGCCTTAAGTCCAGGTTTGCTTTGGCTCTAGTAAATGATAGGAGTCCTATTCTGCATCCTGAATGCGGAGGTCCAAAAGAGGATATCCCAGTAGTGTGAAAAGGCTGTCTAGGAGTTCGTGCCCAGGAGAACTGTGAAACATACTTCCTACAGCATGATACTGCTGAACAGTCACTCTAATTTGGCATCTCCTTTAGTTGAGTCACAGAGCAGTTTCCAAGGCTGGAAATGGTAGTCCTACCTCTCACCTTTGTCTCTGGCTGTCCTCAGGGATATGTCTTCCTTCAGGAACTCATGATGCCTCCAATGGTTTGAGGCACGGGCAGGTCTCCTGTCAAAGAATCCAGGATTGTGTGGAAGGTAGTTTTCCACCTTGACCTCACTTTTTCCAGTTTAGAAACCATGAGTTAAGGGAAATTTTCTATGCACTTGGTGCTGGGAAGATTTAGGGGAGGGACTTCATGCATATAAAACAATCTGATTCTCTTTTTTTTATTATTATACTTTAAGTTTTAGGGTACATGTGCACAATGTGCAGGTTGGTTACATATGTATACATCTGCCATGTTTGTGTGCTGCACCCATTAACTCATCATTTACATTAGGTATATCTCCTAATGCTATCCCTCCCCCCTCCCCACAACCCACAACAGGCCCCAGTGTGTGATGTTCCCCTTCCTGTGTCCAAGTGTTCTCATTGTTCAATTCCCACCTATGAGTGAGAACACGTGGTGTTTGGTTTTCTCTCCTTGAAATAGTTTGCTCACAATGATGGTTTCCAGCTTCATCCATGTCCCTACAAAGGACATGAACTCATCATTTTTTATGGCTGCATAGTATTCCATGGTGTATATGTGCCACATTTTCTTAATCCAGTCTATCATTGGTGGACATTTGGGTTGGTTCCAAGTCTTTGCTATTGTGAATAGTGCTGCAATAAACATACGTGTGCATGTGTCTTTATAGCAGCATGATTTATAATCCTTTGGGTATATACCCAGTAATGGGATGGCTGGATCAAATGGTATTTCTAGTTCTAGATCCTTGAGGAATCGCCACACTGTCTTCCACAATGGTTGAACTAGTTTATAATCCCACGAACAGTGTAAAAGTGTTCCTATTTCTCCACATCCTCTCCAGCACCTGTTGTTTCCTGACTTTTTAATGATCGCCACTCTAACTGGTGTGAGATGATATCTCATTGTGGTTTTGATTTGCATTTCTCTGATGGCCAGTGATGATGAGCATTTTTTCATGTGTCTGTTGGCTGCATAAATGTCTTCTTTGGAGAAGTGTCTGTTTATAGCCTTTGCCCACTTTTTGATGGGGTTGTTTGATTTTTTCTTGTAAATTTGTTTAAGTTCTTTGTAGATTCTGGATATTAGCCTTTTGTCAGATGGGTAGATTGAAAAAATTTTCTGCCATTCTGTAGGTTGCCTGTTCACTCTGATGATAGCTTCTTTTGCTGTGCAGAAGCTCTTTAGTTTAATTAGATCCCATTTGTCAATTTTGGCTTTTGTTGCCATTGCTTTTGGTGTTTTAGACATGAAATCCTTGCCCATGCCTATGTCCTGAATGTTATTGCCTAGGTTTTCTTCTAGGGTTTTTGTGGTTTTAGGTCTAACATGTAAGTCTTTAATCCATCTTGAATTAATTTTTGTATAAGGTGTAATGGAGGGATCGAGTTTCAGCTTTCTATATATGGCTAGCCAGTTTCCCAGCACCATTTATTAAATAGGGAACCCTTTCTCCATTTCTTGTTTTTGTCAGGTTTGTCAAAGATCAGATGGTTGTAAATGTGTGGTATGATTTCTGATGGCTCTGTTCTGCTCCATTGGTCTATATCTCTGTTTTGGTACCAGTACCATGCTGTTTTGGTTACTGTAGCCTTATAGTATAGTTTGAAGTCAGGTAGCATGATGCCTCCAGCTTTGTTCTTTTGGCTTAGGATTGTCTTGGCAGTGCAGGCTCTTTTTTGGTTCCATATGAACTTTAAAGTAGTTTTTTCCAATAACTGTGAAGAAAGTCATTGGTAGCTTGATGGGGATGGCATTGAATCTATAAATTACCTTGGGCTGTATGGCCATTTTCACGATATTGATTCTTCCTATCCATGAGCATGGAATGTTCTTCCAAAAAATCTGATTCTCTTACCATCTGCTCAGAATTTTTTAACTTCTCTGTGGCCCCAGGAACTGACTCATTCTCATATTCGAGTTCTGGGATATTGCTGGTGATAATCATGGTGCTATATATTTGTTTTTGGTTTTCTTTAGTGGGACTAAAGCCAGCTTACATTTAAAACACTATTTTGGAACTGGAAGACCCCCGATATTGTTCTTTTGAATAGTGCAAAGCCTGACTTCTATTGTGTGTTGGGCCCGTGCAGCTTATGTTGCATTTAGGGTATTGTTTTTCTTTTAAAATATGGGTCTAGACTCTACTCTCTATAAGAATAAATGCTTATCTTTGGAAGAGATGTGTAAGTCCAATTCAACAGGTACTCCTGGAAGATCAGCAAAAATCTTGATTCCTCACTTGATACCAGAATGTACCAAAGCCCTCTGGACTACCTAGAACTTCCTTTTCCCAGCCCAGAGGTTTGTCTGAACTAAATAATCATGATGCTGGGAAATGTGTTATTGAGTACAACTCTCTTTCATGTGTTATCTGCTGATATGAGCAAATTTTAAAACAACACTAACTTTGGGGTAGAGGGTGAGTTTCCTCACAATGGTTTAGAATACATGTTATCTGCCATTCTTTCCAATGCTGGTGACCTGAGGACAGGAAAACAAGGCGGCAAGATACTCAAAAGACTGAATGTTAAAGGCCATCTTTTTGATGCTTATCTCTTGGACTACTAAAAATAAAAATCAGATCACATGCACTGTTAAAAATGTTTTCCTTTGCACCTCATATTTACCTCTCTCCTGATATCCGTGAAGATCCTATTATAGCTCAGAACTTCAAGATACACCCATCAGTGAATGAACTGTGGCCCCGGCAAGCTGAAACAGGTGGGGAGAAACATCTGCTAAGGATGGGCAGCTAGCTGTCAGGAAGATGGTTCAGGAACAAGTACTAGACAAACCTCCTCTTTCCCAACTTAAGCTAGAAGAAAGTAACAATGGAAGAGAAAGGATACTGACACTCAGATCACAAGCCAATTGAGGTAAACCCTCAAAATAAAAGCTTTTAAATCAAATACACTTTTGTCTTTTCTAGAATTTGTGACTTTTTAGAATTTGATATATGTTATCATTTATCGTACTTTCAGTCAAGACTAGCAGTAAATATTCAGTCACGTTAAGAATGTTGAGCTAGGAAAAGGATCAATATTGATGCACTGTAGCAAAAGAGACAAGCCAGGTAGTACTTACTGTCACTCTAAGTGAAGTATGGCTGCCAGAATAGTCAATAAAATAAAAGAATACCACAATAACTATTGACAGCATGTCTTAACTCAGTAACATGCAGCCTATTCAAATAATAATTATTATTGGTACAGCAAGTAAATTAGTAATATCATGTATGGCCAGCTGATTCTGAATTTTGTTAGAGTCTCTTAAACTTGAGGATTTAAGTGATTTGATAACACACTGATTTAATCTTGAATATATCCAGCTGCTCCAAAGGCAGCACACATGGTACAGAAGAGACAAAAAGACGAAGATGTGACTTCGAGTCTGAGGAGCTACAGAGTGTAGTCAGTTACAAAAACAAGTCCTAGAGCCTGACTGCCTGGGTTCAAATTCCAAGGGCACCTGATCTTTCCAAATTTAGTGTTTTTGTCTATAAAATGGGGATAAAATTAGTACCTATTGCAAGAGGTTTTCGTAAGGAATAGCTGACATAATTTATGTAACGCCTTTAAAGGGTATAGTGTAAGTGTTTAATAATGTTTACAGATTATCAACATTGCCATAAAAAGCATGTATTTGCCCACATAATTATATCCAAGGAAATTAAAATAAAAAGTGGATTCTATAACGAGCCACACGATCAAACCAAACTAAATCTCACTGCTTCATTAATATTCTCCCACATACTTCTTTTACTAACACTATGTCTATAAAGGCAAAGCCAAATGAAATGCTAAGCATGCATTTGTTTATTATCAATAATCATAGCATGAAATTTATTTTTTGGACATTTCATAATTTTTTATTACAAAGTCATTCAAAATCATACATTATAAAAAACATTCACGTAGTACAGAAGCACATGCAGTAAAATGTTGAAGTCCTTTTATTATTTTCCCCTTCACCCCCCTAATCACCCTTCTGATAGTACTGTTTCTTAAAATAACTTTTAAGTATATATGTGTGTGTGCATATGTGTGTGTGAATTATATTGTAATGTGTATGTCATCATGATTATATTTTATAATTATGTTACGTATAACATAATTTAATCTTTTTAAAGTTAATAGAATTATCCTAAATAAATTGTTATTTGATATGCTTTTTTAGTTAACTTTCTTTTTTCTTGGTGACCTTTCCATGGCAGTACAAGTGAACATAGCTCATTATTTTTGGATATAATACATCGTTTTAAAATATAAAGTGATATGCAGTCATGTGTCACTTAACACAGGGATATGTTCTGAGAACATACACTAACAATTCATTGTTAGGACATTTTGTCATTGTGTGAACATCACAGAGTGTATTTACACAAGCCTAGATTGTGTAGCCTAGGCTAAATGCTATATAAACCTGTATGGCATGCTGCTGTGTTGAATACTGCAGGCAATTGTAACACAATGGTAAATATTTATGTACTTAAACATATTTAAAGACAGAAAAGGTACCATAAATATGTAGTATAAAAAATTAAAAATAACACATCTGTGTATGGCACTTACCATGAATGGAGCCTGCAGGATTGGAAGTTGTTCTGGGTGAGTCAGTGAGTGAGTGGTGAGTGGATGTGAAGGACTTGGACATTCCTGTACACTGTGTAGACTATATAAACACTGTACACCTAGGCTACACTAAATTTATAAAACTTATTTTTTTCTTTAATAGTAAATTAACCTTACCTTACTATAACTTTTTACTTTATAAACTTTTAAATTATTTTTTAACTTTTTGACTCCCTTACAATAACACTTAGCTTAAAACATGAACGTATTGGCCAGGTGCGGTGGCTCAAGCCTGTAATCCCAGCACTTTGGGAGGCCGAGGCGGGCAGATCACGAGGTCAGGAGATCGAGACCATTCTGGCTAACACGGTGAAACCCCGTCTCTACTAAAAGTACAAAAAAATTAGCCGGGCATGGTTGCTGGTGCCTGTAGTCCCAGCTGCTGGGGAGGCTGAGGCAAAAGAATGGCGTGAACCCGGGAAGCGGAGGTTGCAGTGAGCCGAGATCGCGCCACTGCACTCCAGCCTGGGCGACAGAGCGAGACTCCATCTCGAAAAAAAAAAAAAAAAAAAAAAGAACTAATTGTACAACTGACCAAAATACTTTTTTCTTCACAATCTTATTCTATAAGCTTTTTAAATTTTTTAACCTTAATTTTTTTTTCTCTAAAAACTAAAACATAAACACACACTAATGTGTGCAGGTCTACGCCTACACAGGGTCAGGATCATCAATGTCACTGTCATCTACCACCACATGTTGTCCCACCAGAAGGTCTTCAGGGATGGTAACACCCATGGAGCTGTCATCTCCTGTGATAACAGTGCCTTCCTCTGGGTACCTCCTGAAAGGTCAGCCTAAGGCTCCGCTACAGTTAACTGTAAGTAAGTAGGAGTAAAATACACGCTAAAATAGCAATAAAAAGAGTAGTATAGTAAATACATAAACCAGTGACACAGTCAGATATTATTATCAAGCACTATATAGTGTACATAACTATACTGCTATAGTTTTATATGATTGACAGTGTAGTAGGTTTATTTACACCAGCATTATCACAAACACATGACTAATGCCTTGTGCTACAATGTTTCGATGGCTACAATGTCACTAGGTGTTAGGAATTTTTCAGCTCCATTATAATCTAATGAGAGCACCATTGCAGATGTGGTTCCTCATTGACCAAAAGGTCATTGTAACTATATAGAGAGAATATATACAACTGTGTATAACTGCACTATATTCCACAATGTGGGTACTCTACACTTTAGCCATTTTCCATTTATGAGTAGTCTGCATACTTCCAATTTTTCATTATTTCAAACAACGCTATACATACGGTTTTGAGTTTATGTAGGAAAACTGTTTTAGAACTACATAAGATTTGCACGTTTATGGTTTTGAAAGATCCTGCCAAATTACCCTACAGTTTTGGAGTCTCAACCATGATATACAAAAGCGTTTCCCTGCACTCTGGCCAGCAGTGCATGGAGGGACAGTTCAAAATCTTCCACTCTAATATTGTTTTATTATTTGTTATTTATTTTTATTATTTTTTATTTTGAAGTATTTCCTTCTTTTTTGTCTCTTGGTATTTTTAAAAAGTAAATTGCTTCTTCATATGTTTTGCTTTCTCATTGTGTCATCTTTTTCTCTGAGTTGAAGCTCCTTAGGTATTTTAAATATTAATCCTTTTAAAAATATATGTTGCAAGTATTTTCCCATGATTTATTTGCATTTTGTAATTGTGTTTATGTTGCTTGATTTTATGATTTTGGGGAATTATATCTTATTTAAGATGGCCTCCGCAACCAGTATTCTAAATTAGCTCCTATATTTTCTTCTAGTATTTGAAGCAAAGGAGAGAGGTCCTTGGTGAGAAGTTCAGTTTAAATTGTGGCTCTGCCATTTATCAGCTGTGTGTCTCTAGGAAAGGCACTTAGACTCTTCAGATTATAAATAATTTGTAAAATATCTTGCATTAACCCTTATTTGGAATTAACTACAAATTTTACTGATGTATTCGCTCACTGTTTATTTTAAAATCATATTGTACTTAGTATTTGTTAATTGTGAAATATTTGGCTATTATGAAACATTCTAAACATACAGAAAAATGTTGAGAAAAATAAAAGACAGACTTGAGTAATTATGTAACAGGTTTATCATATCTTGAGATTTTTGCCATATCAATTTCTTACACATGTGAAAAAAAAATTAGACACAGTTGAAGCCTCTGTGTACCTCTCCTTGGCCCTACTGCCTTACCCGCTCCCTGTCGCCATGCAGTGCTGTGCTTTATTTCCCACGCCGTTTTAAGTATTTTGAACACACACACACACACACACACACACACACAACATTGTTTTGTGTTTTTTTGTTTTTGTTTTGTTGTTGTTGTTTTTTTCGAGACTTAGTCTCATACTGTCGCCCAGGCTGGAGTGCAGTGACACAATCTCAGCTCACTGCAACCTCCACCTCCCAGTTTCAAGCGATTCTCCTGCCTCAGCCTCCCAAGTAGCTGGGATTACAGGCGCCCCGCCACCACGCCCAGCTAATTTTTGTATTTTTAGTAGAGACATGGTTTCACTATGTTGGCCAGGCTGGTCTCAAACTCTTGACCTCGTGATCCATCTGCCTTGGCCTCCCAAAGTGCTGGAATTACAGGTGTGAGCCACTGCACCCGGCCAGTTTTGTGTATTTTTGTGCTTTAAGAAGTGGTATTATACTATTACACAATTTTGCAGCTTGTTTTTTTTGAGATTTATTTTTGTTGCTTTAAGTAGCTCCAGCTTGTTTTTACACCTATTATATAGTATTTGAGGCATTAAACTACAATTTATGAATTTGGTTGAAATTTACCATCATTTATTTATGCTCCTCTTGATTGAGGTTTTAGTTTTAAACTTTGCTTCATTTTATTTATTACTTTGCTGTTTAAATAACCCTGTTATGTCTTCTTGAGAGTATGTTTTAGGTTTCTGAGGCTAAATATCTAGTCATAGAATTGCTGGGTATATGCACACTTTCCATTGAAATCATTAATAATAGATATTAAATGGATACAGCCAGATTGCTCTTCAAAGAGGTGGAACCAATTTTCACTCACTCGTAGAGCATATGTACTTTCTATTTTTTAATATCCTCACTACAAATATTTTCTGAACTCACTACTTTAAAGTTTTGATTTTTACATTTAAGTTTTTAATTCATGTGGGAATGCTTTTATCTTTGTAAAAAGTGAGGTAGATTCCCATATGGCTAATCGATAACCCCAGCACCATTTATTGACTAGTTCATTCCTTCCCCAATGATTTGTACCACTTTAGTTATCCATCAAGCTTTCCTAAATGCCTTCTGGGCTCTCTTCCAGGTTCCACAGCACTGTTTGTTTTTCCTTGTCCTAGACCACAATTGTCTTAATTACTCCACCTTGTTATGATTACTATCTGAAAAGGGAAGCCCCTATTTTGTTTTTCTTCAACATTTTCTATTTTCCTTGTCCTTTATTCTCCTATATACATTTTAGAATTGACTTGATGGTCTAAAATTGACCACAGCAGTTGGAGCCATTAAAACTATAGACCTAGGGTATTTTTGGAAGAATAGGACATTTTAATATATATGTTCTTATTTTTCTTCTTTCTTTCTTTTTTCTTTTTTCTTTCTTTCTTTTCTTTCTTTCTTTTTTCTTTCTTTCTTCTTTCTTTCTTTCCTTCTTTCTCTCTCTCTCCCTCCCTCCTTCCCTCTCTCCCTCCCTCCCTCTCTCTTTCTTTCTTTCTCTCCCTCTTTCTCTCTCTTCTTTCTTTCCTTTCTTTCTTCCATCTCCCTCTCCCTCTCTCCCTCTCTCTCCCTATCCCATCTTCCTCTCCCTCTCCGTCTCCCCTGTCTCTCTCCCTTTCCTTCCAATCCCTTCATAGAAGCACCCGGTTGATGGACATTTGAATTCTTAGACCTATGCTTCATGCATCATCTTCTAACTGTTCTTTCATATTTATGATGATTTAGTTTTTTTTCTATTTATTTGGGGCAATATCTAAGGTTGATTTTTCAACTGTGTTTCATTTTCTATTCTTCCCACTTATTGATCATTTTAATAATTTCTTTCTCTTAGCAGCCTTATTCTTAATGGATGAATTAACCTTTTGAATCTTTCAGAAGTTACTGGTTTTGCTGATTTTCAAATGCTCCTTGGTTGCTTTAGGGCATTAGTTCTTTTATGAATTTTATTAGCTTTCTTTCATGTCATTGCATTTGCTCAAAGGATTGCTGAATATTCATTAGTCTTTTCTACCTAGAGTTGATATTTTGGACTGCTGTTGGCAGCAGAATATTTCAGTGTTCAAAGGAAAGTTTATGTTTTCCTGGAAGTGAACACAGATTCAACAAGAGACTTCACTCCTTGTCTATATGTGTGCATGTGTGTGTGCATGTGCGTGTAGATGTGTGTGCATGTAGCAAAAACATGGCCAGGTTAGCTTTCTTTTAGGGAATACTTGTTATGTATTTTCTAAGTGCAGGACCTTTATGTCCTCATGGCTGCACTAAGTCCCCTGAGGCACAATCCTGCTTCTCTATTTTCAGTGTCCTTATGGGTGCACTAAGTCCCCTGGGGCACAATCCTGCTTCTCTATTTTCAATGTCCTCATGTCTGCACTAAGTCTCCTGGAGCCCAATCCTGCTTCTCTCTTCCCAATGTCCTCATGGCTGCACGAAGTCCCCTGGGGCGCAATCCTGATTCTCTGTTCTCGAGCTCCCATTTTATTGGCTCTAAATGTGGTCTTAGCTGAAGGCCAGTTGCTGAGAGTCAGCTTCTGGAAAAGAGATTGGCCCAGCCAACAAGAAAACTACTCTTTTAGGCCCCCGTGGCCTTTCCATTTAACATTACTTAATGATTCAGCACTGTTGCCTTTCTCCATCAGTTCACTCTCATCAGAAACATCTTTCTGTTCTCCTGTGCTGAGGACACATTTCACGGCTTGACAGGATTGCTGAGTATTTGTTATATCATTGTAATATGATTTTTTGAAAGAAAAGAGATAAAGCCAGACATCTTGAGCTAGAAGTGTTTAGTCAACAGTTGAGAATTGAGTGATACATAATTTCCATTGTGTTCTGTGCTGTCATCAGAATTCAGTGAGATAATACGTTCTCTGCACTGAAAAACCATGTCATAAGTTTGTATTTTCCACAGGACTAAGAACAATAAGTATTTTTACTGTTGAATAGCTAAAACCACCTTTTTTCAAAACCAGATTAACTCCTCCGAATTATCTAGATAAATGTTCCAAAATCTTCCACTTATTGTTTCAAAATTTATAGTGCTTTTTGCCTTCTCAAAATATCATCTTTCTGTTTTCAAAACTAAGCTGAGAAATAGTCTCAGCTTTTGAATTGTAATGCAATGTTTTTGTTTTTTCTTTTTTTCTAATTTCTAGTACCCAGGAGTTAGACCAATGAGCGCTAAGAGTTCTTGGAATAGGGTGTATGTAGAGGTACCTTAAATATAAGGCTCCAAATGGAGGCTTAGGGCTCATTCCTTCCATTTGCAGCCTATATTCAACACTTTTCTATTTCATTTATAATGTTACGCTCCTGTGGGACAATGGACATACCTCTATTCTAGAATTTCTCCAGTCTGTTGTATTTAGATTGTGAGTACCTCAAGGGTGTTTACATTTTCATTGTTAATACTATAAGGAGAAAAATACCTGTAAAATATCTGTCACTCAATAATAATTCTCTAAATGAATCAATCATATTTTTAAAAACATATTTTTCTGCTATACTAAGTATAAATGGCTCAAGCAAAGTGGAAGCTTTAAAATAACCATTTTGAATTTCTAAACAAAAATTTAAATAACTCCAATAGCTTAGTACTCACATAAGAAGAATCTACTTGACAACTAAAGGTTTTGTTTCTGAGCTGGTGGTTAGCTAATTAACTTGACCTAATCACATTATTGAATTGTGTATTTAGAACAAAGATCTGCCTCAGCAAATATTTTAACATGTTATTTTAGATTCTGATATGTGCACTCAGCTTTGAGAAAATACGTAGGTTCTTTGATTGCATTTTGAATAAAAAAACAGGCAATTAAAATTTATGGTTGTGAGGAGATCGAGAACTGGGAGAGTCTCCCTTTATTATATTTTCTTCCTAAGCATAAATCATTATAATTGCTTTTGAAATAAACACAAATATGACTCAACAGTCTTATCAGCTATGGCTTCAACCCCCAAGATTTACTGTGCGGCCCTATGAGAATCATAAGTAGCTAAGAAACTCACTTAGGAATTGATGACAGCAAAGTAACCTTTTGTGTACCACTGACATGGGCCTACCATGATCATTACTAGAAAGCTGTACTAACTGCTGCAGACCTGCATTGCTGTGGAACAATGAAAATACGTCATGTAGGTTCAGCATCATTTCTATGTGATAAATCATTTTGACGGAATTACCAAGGTTTGATTTTGTTTGAAATGTACTAATCAGATAATGGATGCCGTGGGTTAGCTGATGGGTAAGAGCGGCGTCATTAATTGTTTCCTGGTGGCTGTTCAGGGCAGCACTGAGGGGCTGTCTCTGTTAGGGATGTGATTCTATATTGACAGCACTTAAAAATAACCCAAATCCATAAATAGCCAGGGGAACTTTTGTTTGAAAAGAAAAAGAACCCTCCAGGATACGATTCATGAATCAAATTTTTAATAAGTGTAAACTTTGTGGATGGCTTTTTACAAATTTTATTTCTATGACCCTCCATTGCCTACCCCCATTTTCTCTCCCCATTAATAAAGCACTATGCACCTCATACACCATACAATTATTTATATATTCAATTACAGGCATAGTTTGGTGAAGATGATTTAACTCCCTTCCCAATTAAATGGAAATTGAGACATGAGAAAGCTCAATGATGATTTGTGTTTTTAGCCAATCTTAGATGTCAAAATTCCAAGTAATATTAAACCCATTTCTACAATGCTGTCTCCAGCAACCAGTGTGTGGTTATATAAATGGCGCATCATCCAAGAAATATAATGTGGATGTAGACAAGAATGTATCTTCAATCTATTATTTTCCTACAATTCACTATGCTCTCCATTTCAAGATAATTAAGACATTCGTCATTTTTGTTCTGTAATTTTGGTTTGTATTAGATGAAATGTCATCATTCCTCAGAACATCTTGATTTCCTTATTTTGCCAAGTGACAGGTTTACTTTCTGTATTCTCCAGATGTGCTCTCTTTAAATGGATAAATCAAAATTTCCTGCCATTCTTCCCTGAGACTTCATCATTTTGGTAAGCTCCTGAAATTGGCAAATCAGGAAACCAAACTCCTTCCTCTCCAAGCAAAGAATGCTTGTGTTGTGGAGCAGATCTGCAGACACAGATTGTAATCCCTGCCCCACTTAAGACTTGCTAAGCCACGTTTGTAAGTCATTAAACTACAGTGAGGCTTCATTTATTAAGTGGATTACTTCCTGACCTGGATGTGTCCTCTAAAATGAACCTGAAGAACTTTGTGCTTTGTAAGTATCTCTTAATATGTTTGGTAATAAAGCAGCACAGTGCAAAAGAACTCTATTAAAATTGTGTTAGCAGAGGCAAGTAATCAAATATTATAAGTGGAGGAATAGAAAAGTACTAAAAAAAAAAGATGCCGACTAATACTAAACCCCAATGCTTTCAAAACAATGTGATAAAAGTAAAACAAAACAAAACAAAACAAAACTCACTCAGATTTTATTCATACTTTTAAGTAAAATAACCTAAATATACTTAAGCTTTATGTATCCATTTTCATAGAAGCATAAATTTGCATGATTGGAATGGATTTCTGCAACTATTTAATCCAACTACTGTCTCCATCTCACTCTCATTAGATATTTGTATTTTTTAAATATTTTCCTTGATAAAAGATTATTTCGCTGCAACTGAAATATCACTAATGATACAAACTTTATTATCTACATACAACTAGCTGCTTGAAAATTCCTTCCAATTTTGCTTTCTTATAACTTCTACTCATTGATATCTGTTTTGCCCTCCGAGGAAACAGGAAAAAAATATCAAAACAACTGTATTCTCTACACTTATGCCTTTTACAGTTGAAGATAATTATTATAGTACCAAATGTTTTAGTTCTCAAAAGATTTTCCTTTTTTTGTGGCATTCCATGGCATTATTCTATCTCCCCTTAGCACTCACTGCTAAACACGATCCACTTTATATGTGTCTTTCTAAAGGATTTGGGTCAGATTAGTGTGAACTCCAGGGACTTCAGGAATGGTCCAAGCAGTCAGGACCTGATCAGCATATTCTCCAGGCTCCTTTATATTGTGAACTAACAGAACTTCACTTGCCAAGACACAGGGCTAAAGAGTGATCCTTCCTTTTGTCTCTTTCAGATAGATCCTCCCAAAGGATGGGTGCCTTCATTCACTCAAGAAATACCTTGTAAGTACATGCAATTATCAGACATTTTTCTATGTGTTAGAGATCTATAGTGGACTAGACACTCATGGAGTTCAGTCTAGAAGAGGAAAAAGAAAAAAAAAGTTACAATTTGGAACTCCCTAAATAAAAAGTCAGGTGCGAAAATGGACAGTAATTCATAAAGTGGGGAATATAAATTAGATTAGGTCGTTCATGAAGTTGCCTTTGGGAAGAGGCTGTTTCAGGTCAGTTCTGAAGGGAGAGGAGTAGCAAGTCACCCATCACGTAATTAAAACGGCCTCCTGTCACTCTGCAAGTCTTGTGCTCCAGTGTGTGTAGTAGCTTTGTTATTCTAGGTTGACTGTCTTCAATGGCTGCCAACTCCTCTGGACCACATGGGAAGGGCTGTGGTCCATGCTACCAGAACTCAAGCTGGGCTTCTCACCTGGGTGCAAAGAGCTTTCTTTACAGTCTGTATTAATTTCCTAGGGCTGCCTTAACAAAGTACCACAAATTCAGATGGCTTAAAACAACAGAAAATTGTTGTCTCATGGTTGTGAAGGCTAGAAATCCAAAATCAAGGTTTCAACAGGGCCATGCTTCCTCTGAAGGCTTTGGGCAAATCCTCCCTTGACTCTTCTGGCTTCTGGTGGGTGCCCACCATCATTTGTGCTCCTTGATTAGTAGATGCCTCACTCCTATCTCTGCCTCTGTAGTCACATGGCCTTCTCCCTGGTTCTGTGGCCAAATTCAATGACAGGAATCATTGAATCAAGATCCACCTTAATCTAGCATGGCCTTATCTTAACTTTATTACATCTGCAAAGACGCTATTTCCAAAATAGGTCATGATCACAGACACGGGGGTCAGGATTTGAAAGTATCTTTTTCAGGGATGTAATTTAATCTACAACAATGTTCCCATATACATTGAAGAGCTTTGTGCTGACAGTAGATGGGACTTCTTTTTTCAGCAAACTTCTCTTTAGCTATCAAGGAAAACTTTTTTCTTATTATGTCTAGCTTTTTTTTGGAGGAAGCTCCCTTAAAACAAGCAAACAAAAATCTTGCTTGGGCCCCTAATGACAGAATTGTTTCTTAATAAAAAAAATTTTTTTAACCATAATCCTCTCAATCCCAGAGAGAAAACTGCCCTGGGAACCAGAGCAGATAAATGATGGAGTGAAACATTGAAGTGGGGGCTCAACTAGCTATTGCACTAAGAGAGGAAGAAGGGAAATTTATTTTTTCTTTTTCTTTTTTTTTTTTTGAGTTGAAGTCTTGCTCTGTAACCCAAGCTGGAGTGCAATGGGACGATCTCAGCTCACTGCAACCTCTGCCTCCTGGGTTCAAGTGATTCTCCTGCCTCAGCCTCCCTAGTAGCTGGGATTACAGCTAGCCCACCACCATGCCCAGCTATTTTTTTTTTTTTGTATTTTTAGTAGAGATGAGGTTTCACTATGTTGGCCAGGCTGGTCTCAAACTACTGACCTCAGGCAATCCACCCGCCTCAGCCTCCCAAAGTGCTGGGATTACAGGCGTGAGCCACCGTGCCCGGCTGGAAAATTTATTTTTTCAATCTATCCTCACATTTTTAGAAAACTTTAAATTATTATGTGAATATATGTGTACAAGTATGTGCATATGATGATGTAACTATGTCTGTGGGTGGGTGTGTTTTTGAAATTTGTGGTGGATGCAAGTTTTATGATTATCGGAAAGACAAATTGCAGAGTGGAGCAGCAATAAGTCAAGAGACTCAATCCCAGCCTTATTTGTATTTTTGTTTATTAAGAAAATTTTCTACTACTACTGCATCATCAATCATAAGATGCATATTTTAGTTATATTTTAACATCTTCAAGATCAGGATGTGTCTTACAAATGAAAGTGTTTTCCAATCCTTGTTGGTCAGGGGGGCACTTAGCATGGGCTATCATTGACTTTCAGTGCATGAATGCAGAAATAGATTTACGTATTTTCATAGCCACTTCAGTTGAGTTATGTGCATTATTGATATCACACATGCTGATTTTAATTGCCATTGCTAATGTCTCCAAAAAGATTACAGTGTGCTTTAGCTTTGCAATTAAAATTTATTGCATGTGGAGAAAAGTGAAAACAGAAATGTGAAAAATAAACCTATGTCTAAATAATGCTAAAAGGACCCTTTCAATAAGTGTGAAACAAAATTTTTGTATAATAAGCAAACCTTGTATTGTAGTTTAACTGGTAACATTTTTTCTTAATAGTACATAAAATAATGGCTCATCTTCAATAAATGGCATCTTAGAGTCAAGGAAATGTGGTAATTTATTCCCTCAAGTACAGTGAAACATAAGCTCTTCAAAATGCAGCCTTTCATAACTCCCCAACTTCTAGACTAATAGCTAAGAAAAAAAAATCTCTTTGGTAGTGAGTAAATAGCATTTGAAGACTCAGGAAAAAATGACTATACCTGATAAAAATCTAAAGATTCAGAATCCCATTAATCTTAAGAGTCCCGTTAATACCACCTTGGTCCAAACCATCATCATTTCTCACTGGAGCAATCGCGACAGCCTCCAAAATGGCCTCTCTGCAAACTCTCCAATGGCTTCTCATTGCATTCAGAAGAAAATCTAAATATCTTGACAGTAACCTGCAAGGCTCCACCTTCTTGAACTGGCCCTGCCCAGCTGACTGGCCTCATTTCTTCCTCCCCTCCTCTTTCATGGTGATTCAGCCACAGCGACCTCTTTCTGTTTCTCTTTTTGGCTTTTCGTCAAGCACTCAGTTTACTGCCTTCATACTGGCTCTTCTCTCATCTTGCAATCTTCTCGTTCCGGGTCTTCCAATGACTTGCTGTTTCTTGTCATCAACTTAGAGGGGACGATCTCAGAGAGACCTTCCTTGTCCGTTTAATATAAAATAGTCTTTAGTTTATATCATACTGTTTTATTTTCATAGCATGTGTACCACTCTGAAATTATTTAATTTGTCCACTTCTTCGTTGTCTGTCTTCCTTTCCCATAAAATGTAACTGCACCAGAGGTGGAGACAGCAGGGTCTTGTCTGTCTTTCCACTGCTATGTCCTAACACTATACTGTTACTCTTTGTTGAATGACTAAATAGATAAAGTGTAATTGGACAGTTTAACATGAAGGAAAAATGCTTTAGTCGTCTGGGATGCTCTATAAAAGCCAGTCTACATAAAAATCAAAAAGCACTTCAGAAGAAATTGGAAGCTTAAGAAACAAAAAATGAAACATTGTTAAGAAATGGAAGCAAAGAGTAATGGAATCCAGCCATGATGGAGTGACTTAGCCACAGATTAGGATTGGGTATGTTGATGATATGTAACAAACACTGACATTGGAGAAGAGAGACAGACGGTAGAGCAGCTTGGAAGTCTTGAGATGAGGAGCACGCACCTGTTACACGCAAAGCCCTCATGGCAGTGAATGTGCTCCACTCCAGGCTGCCAAACAGCTGAGCTTGGTAGTCAGCGGCCAGGAAGTGGCATTCTCTATGTAGAATACAGTGGTGTTAATAATGCTTTACATTTCCAAAGCATTACTAGCAAAATCAAAAGCCTATGAGGGTCAGGGCAGGTAACATGAATGAGGGAAGCAGGCTGGGTCAGGCAAGCTCATGCCCCATTTAAAGGGACGACCAGCCGCTACTCAGCAGCGATGGCTGCCCTGTGGGCATTCAGGCCAAGCATGATGAGATATTCTCATTTTCCTAGAAAGGACAGATATCTGGATTTTTATTAAAAAATTTTTCTACATTTCAATTTTGGGAACAAAATTAACTTACAAAAACCCACCATGAATGAAACGAAAACAGATCTGTAGTCTAAATCTAACTCACAGGTCACTAGCTTGCAACCTCTACCTTATAATTTTGAAAATTCTACTTCAGTATTATCTTTTCTGAAATATCCAAGGACCTTAAAAAATAAATAAGTACAAAATTTAAAATTTTGATTATGGAATGAGCACAGTCTTGTTTTAGAAGTAGAATTTGAGAGTACAGAAAAGCATAAAAATTTGGAAACAAAAAAGTTAAGTGTTCCTATGCCAGATAACATTCTGATGTATGCTTTTCTATAATTAAGATTAATGATCACTGATAAAATATATATGTACTTACACACTCACAAATATCCTTACATATGTAGGCACATCATGTTTTATTGTACTTCACTTTATTGCACCTCATAGATACTGTAATTTTTACAACTCAAAGGTTTATGGCAACCTCACAATGGGCAAGTCTACCAGCACCATTTTTCCAACAGCATGTGCTCACTTTATGTCTGTGTTACATTTGGGTAATTCTTGGAATGTTTCAAACTTTTTCATGATTCTTATATCTGTTATGGTGATCTATGATCAGTGATATTTGGTGTTACTATTGTAATTGTTTTGGGACACCACAAACCATGTCCATATGAAGTTGCAAACTTAATTAATTAATGTTGTATGTGTTCTGACTTCTCCATCAACCCTTGGGCCTTCCTATTCCCTGAGACATAACAAGATTGGAATGAGGCCAATTAATAACCCTACCATAAACTCTAAGTGTTCAAGCAAAAGGAAGAGTCACAGGTCTTGCACTGTAAATCAAAAGCTAGAGATGAGTAAGCTTAGTGAGCAAGATATGTCGAAAGCTGAGATAGGTGAAAGTTAGGTCTCTTGTGCCAAACAGTTAGTCAAGTTGTGAATACAAAGGTAAAGTCCTTGAAGGAAATTAAAAGTGCTATTTCAGTGAACACAGAACGATAAGAAAGCAAAACAACTTTATTGCTGATATGGAGAAGTTTGAGTGTCTGGATAGAAGATCAAACCAGCCATATTTTCTTAAGCCAAAGCCTAATCTAGAGCAAGAATCCAACTCTCTTCAATTCTGTGAAGGCTGAGAGAGGTAAAGAAGCTGCAGAGGAAAAATTGGAAGCTAGTAAGGGTTAGTTCATGAATATTAATAAAAGAAGTCATCTCTATAACATAAAAGTACCCAGTGAAATAGCAAGAGGTAATGTAGAAGCTGCAGCCAAGTTATCAGAAGATCTAGTTAAGATCACTGGTGAAGGTGGCTACACTAAAAACCAGACTTTCAATGTAGACAAAACAGTCTTCTATTGGGAGTAGATGCCATGCAAGACTTTTATAGCTAGAAAGAAGTCACTGGTTTGCTTCAAAGCTTCCAAGGACAGGCTGATTAGCTTGTTAGGGACTAATGCAGCTGGTGACTTTAAGTTGAAGCCAGTGCTCATTTACCATTCTGAATATCCCAGGGCTCTTTAAAATTATGTGATAATTTGCTCTGCCTGTGCTCAATAAATGGAACAACAAAGTGTGGGTGACAACACATCTGTCCATAGTGTGGGTTACTGAATATTTTAAGCATACTGTTGAGACTTACTGCTCAGAAAAAAAAAGATGCCTATCAAAATATTATTGCTCATTGACAAGGCACCTGGTCAAACAAGAGCTCTGATGGAGAGGTACAAGAAGATTAAAGCTGTTTCATGCCTTCTATCAGAACATCCATTCTTCAGTCCATGGATTAAGAAGTAATTTTGACATTCAGGTTCTCTTATTTAAGAAATACAATTTGTAAACCTATAGCTTCCATAGAGAGTGATTCCTCTGTTTGATCTGGGCAAAGTACATTGAAAACCTTCGGGAAAGGATTCACCATTCTAGTTGCCATTCAGAACATTCCTGATTCATGAGAGGAACTCAAAAGATCAACATTAACAGGAGTTTGGAAGAAGTTGGTTCCAATCCTCATGGATGATTTTGAGGGGCATAAGATGGGGAAGTAACTGCAGATATGGTAGAAATAGTAAGAGAACTAGAATTAGTAGTGGAGCCTGAAGATGTGACTGAATTGCTGTAATCTTATGACAAAACTTCAACAAATGAGGGGTTGCTTCTTATGGATGAGCAAAGGAAGTGGTTTCTTGAAATAGAATCTACTCTGGGTGAAGATGCCATGAGCATTGTTAAAATGACGAAAAAGACTTTAGAATATTACATAAGCTTTGTTGGAAAAGCAGTGGTAGTATTTGAGAGGATTGACTCCATTTTGAAAGAAGTTCTACTGTGGGTAAAATGCTATCAAACAGCCTCACAAGCTACAGAGAAATCTTTCATGAAAGGAAGAGTCAATGGATGCAGCAAACTTTATTGTTGTCTTATTTTAAGAAATTGCCACAGCTACCCCAGCCTTCAGTAACCACCGCCCTGATCAGTCAGCAGCCATCAACATCAAGACAAGACCCTCCACCAGCAAAAAGTTTATGACTTTCTGAAGGCTCAGATGATCTTTAGCAATTTTTAGCAATAAAGTATTTTTAAATTAAGATTTTTACATTGTTGTTTTAGATATAATAAATTGCACAGTTAATAGGCTATAGTATAGTGTAAACATAACTTTCAGATGCACTGGGAAACCAAAAAGTTTGAGTGATTTGTTTTATTGTAATATTTGCCTTATTGCAGTGTCCTGGCACTCAATTAACAATATCTCTGAAGTAGGCCTGTACATAGATAGCTAGATAGCTTTACGTCCTGTTTTCTCTCTTATTGTTAGATTATAATATTAAAACATTTCCTTGTTATTTAAATTTCTTATGAATATTATTTTAAAAGCTGCAAAGTATTCCATTGTAATCATGTATTATCATTTATTTAAAGTTTTCTTTATTTTGGATGTTGACATTGCTTCCATTTTTACTAGGACAACTTAATGAACATCTTTATGCCTAAATATTGGTTTGTATTCCACATTATTTCATTAGATGTGATTGCCAGAAGTACAATTATTAAGTGAAATGTTGATGAATGAAACCAAATTAATCCAAAATATTTTGTCACAAAATCTACTTTCAAGAGCAGTTTGGAAAATACTTAACATAGTCCTTTCCATCATTAAAAACATAAGGAGACGTAAGACTTTGCTACTTGCTACAAATTTATTTAATTACCAGTAAGAGTGATTATATTTTATATGGTGATTAGCTACCACATATGTTGAAGCCAGCCTAATTTTTGTGCTTTGTAGGTAAATCTCTTTCCCCCCCCCCTTGGTTGGGTGATTGTTAACCTTTTTTCTTTACACTTGAAATTAAAATTGCTATAATATATCTATATTAAAATTAATTTTCCATGGAACACAATGGAAGTTTTCATTGTACCTACACAGGCTTCCATTCAGTTCAGCAATGATTTTCTTATATACTATTATTACGTTTCCTATTCTCATGTTTGGTCTTTAGTAACATGCATGATTTATAGGTTGGCTTCTCTGTTTTTTCTCTTATTTTATTTTATCTATTAATTTGGTTGTTAATATCATTTAATGCAGCTTTCCACCTTTAATGTTTTGTTTTTTGATTGCCACCAATGCTGACTTTAAATTTGTTGCTGTATTTGGGGGATTTTCGTATTATTTTCCCATAGTATTCAGTTCCTGTTTCACAACTGTTTTCATCTTAAGCCTTTCTCTTCCTATGAATTCCTTCTTTCCCTAAGAGGTGCTTCTTTCTCATATCCCCTTGAATGCATCAAACATGTTTTCTAAAAGCTCCTGTAGCTCCTAGAACATTTGGCTTTGTGCCTCTATCCTATTAGTATGAATAATTGTGTCAAAATACTGGGACAAAAGACAGTGCATGTAGGCTCTTCACCACAAGGCCACATTTCTGCTTGCAATTCACATTCCACTTCCCACTTTTAGTGGCAGTGTGTCAGTTTCTGTGTCATGTCAGGTTCTCTGAGAAGCAGATGCCAAGATGGAGTTAGGGATATGAGAGATTTATTATAAGTTTTGTCCGTGAAAGATAAAGAGGAGCGGCAACAGGAGTAGGAAAAACTGTCACAGGGCAATTCAGGTCTGAATCCTGTGAGAGGAAAGGATGGTGGGAGGAGAATTGGGTAGAAAGATGTTCAGAGTGTGGTGCCAGGTTTGAGAGCATTTTGGCCAGCCACTGGGCAGTTTCTCTAGAGCAGAAAGTACCCATTAGAGGAGTCTTACATTGGGTAGAAATTGGCAGGTCTCAGTCCCTCTACCGTGCATGTCATTGGCTGCGGGTTACCTGGGGACAGCAGGTGAGAGAGAGGGGTCTCTGCAGGGGACCTGAAGGCACTGCAGCAGGAGAGAAGCTTGCAGCAGTATGTCTTGAAGGAAGGTCCAAGGAAACTCCACCCTAGCTGCTACAGAAGGTAACCAGAGAATCAATGCCTTTCAATCTAAACATTTCAATTTCTGATCCCAACACATCCTAGTTACTAAAGATGTTTTTCTAGTCTTTTCTGGAGGTGGCATTTCCTCCCACATGAAGCAGCAAGAGTGAGCAATGGCCAGGAGGTTTGACAAGACCCAGCAGACTTCATGACATGTTGATAGTCCATTATCTTCCCTGAGCACTACATAATACTGCTCTATCACTTGACCTAGGTCACCGGTTTCAGTTAATTCTCAAATGTTTTCTACAACGCCTTTTTGCATAATCTGCCTGTTCCCTTTTCTAATTTTCTCTACTTCCATGGCTGATGTCAACTTACAACAGAGAAATGATTGTTGGTTTTGTCCTCTTTTTGTGCCATCTTCATCTGAAGAGTTTAACCATTTTGAATCACATCAACTTACTCCAATTTAATGCTCTCTAAGGCATTCCACTACATTTAAAATTAACACCCCACTTCTTACCATGGCGTACAAGATCCTATATGATCTGCCTTCTGACCTCGTCTTCTTTTGCTGATTCTCCTTACTCATCATAATCTAAACTCCTTGGCTTTCTTACATTTCCTTGACTACCTGAAACTCTATCTGGGCTCGAGAGTCTTCTGCTTCTATCAGTTTTCCTCCAGAGCTTTGTACCATGAGACTTCTGTTCTCAAGTATCAGTGCCTCAGAAGACTTCCTTGACCTCCCTACTTAAAATACAACCTCCAGCCTCTACCACCACCACTGTCTATTTTCTTAGCATGCTTCCTGGTCATCCTGTCCCCTTCCCTGATCATACTGTCATCAGTTTTGCCCTGCATTTTATTGCTACTTTGTGTCAACTCTTTTGTAGGGTTGGCATCGACATTCAGGATACTCTGTATAAGTTAGATCAAATGAGATCTAATCCATGCTAGAGCAAGGTGGGAGACCTCAAGGCTTCTAAGGAATTTGAAAGAGTTAACCAGTCTGAGCTACACCACTGCCTGGATCTGATTCTCGACACTGGTATTTCATCATCTGGAATTATATTATTTACGTGTTGTCTTATTTAATATCTGTCTTCCCCATCAAGAAAGGAAGTGCCAGAATGTCAAGAGCTGTGTTTGTGGCATAAACTTCTGTATGCCTGACCCTCCAACAGTAACTGGCACATGGAAGGCACATGTGCCTTACTAAATAAATAAATATTTATTTAGTAAATGAATGAGTGAATAATGGAGGAAAGTCTTTGTCTGAAAGAAGTATATTTTACATTCACAGCACAGCTTCTCAAACCTCAGCTATATGCATGGTGATCACAATAACTTTGACAGAGAGGACTTAGGGAAGATATTACAGAAGGTCTTGTGAGGAATATCAGAACACACATTGCTAAATGAGGGATATCATCAACATAAGGAAATGCAGATTGGGCATTGTGGCATGTAGCCGATTTAGCCAGTGACTCTGCAGCCAAGGCTGGTGCAGGTTTGGAATGCTGATCCTTCCAGAGCTGTCTGTTTTCATTTCTCTTCTAGGCCTCCCTATGGCCTCCAACCATGCTAGCTTGTCCTTCCTTTCCACTTTCACTATCTGACCTCCAAAGGAACAATGTTTTCCTCCCCTGTTGGGCTCTGCTCTATTTTCTGTGTCCTGACTAAAATTGCCTATTGAACGGTCACATTATAGCATATATTTTGCCACCTTATACATATTTGAATTTTTAAAACAAATTTCATGGGACTTGTTTTTTAGTTTCATACTGGGAAATTTTCCAAAACCAATGGAATCAAAATAAAATCTATGTTGGACTAAATTTTTCTCAGCACCGCCACTTCTAAATGCACACCTCTCTCATTTGCATTGAAATTCCAGCAACTCCAGTCATTTGTTTCTTAGATATTTCCCTAAAACATTATGATCTTCTCGGAGAAGATGGACCATTTCTTCTCATCATGTTAGAATATTTTAAACCCGAATGTGAACATGTGGCTCAGCTCTAGTTGCTTTGGTGATGATATCTGGTAGACATATATGGTTTATTTCTTTGGAATTCCACATTCAGAGAGAGACAATTTAAGGCAAAATGAAAACAAAAACCCAACACAGAAACAATATGTGAATTAGGAAAACAGTGCTGATTGTCTTTTCTATTTAAAAGATCTTTCACTGTAGGAAAATATGACTTAGTGAGTACACTTGAAGGTCTGTAGCAGCGCCTGTTCCATGTTGCTTATTTTAGAGGCAGAGGCCTGGAGTGTGGAGCCCTCTTCATGGACTGAAGTGTCCAGGTTACTTTTTCTATGAGTGTGTAACATTCTGCCAACCGAGGAAATCCAGTGGTGTAACACATGCTGTAATCAGAGTCTGGCTTCGGGGAAATTGAAAACATGATTTGCAGTTTTTAGTCTGATACCAAGAGCTCTTCAATTTGAACAGAAACAAAATGAGCTTTATTATTCTGTGGCTGCTCTGACTGAGTAACCTTCTTTTGTCTCCATTTTTTGCTCTCTAATAAATTACTTCTGATTAATCTTGCAGATTTTTATGCAAGCAGGATTGGAGCAGAAAAAATAAGTTGTTTGTGTTAAGCAGTGATGGGTTATTCTTATTAATTGATTAGGCTGCCCTGAGTTGTTTTTGGAATCATAAGAAGGTAAATATTGTGAATTGATTATTACATTGCCATTCAATAAATGTCATGCAGTATTTTTTACTTCATAAATTTGTGTAAAATGTAATGTTTGTTTCATGTACAAGGAAAAAGGTGAAAGGTCTTTCAGAGATTTTGAGAATGAGGGGGAACCATGTGGTTTCCAAGGATAACAATGCCTTTTTCCACGTCATTCCCTGCAATAGTGCAAAGCATCTCAGGTTGTCAGCAACAATAGTGCAAGATGCCTGGTGCTTCATGCCCCAAAGCCTACTGCTACTGTCTTTCTAATTAGTCTCTGGTAAGTTATGGAGAGAGCAGATAGATAGGCTCTTGGGTGACAATATGCTTCATCACTCAGGCATATAATAATTATGTTCATTAGCATTACCTAGTTTTTAAAATAGTAAGTTATGCACTCTGTATTTGGCCAAACTTGAAATTCTTCTAGAACCATGTAGTCCCTCCCATAGTCAGAAATGTTTCAACTAATATTTTAATGGATATTGTAAGTAAAACTGTATTAGTGCCTTTTAACAAAGACATATTTGGAGACATTAGATTTGGTCAGATGGTTGGATATTCAAGCCCTTCCTTGTTCTGGAATTCTATGTGACTGTGGGCAATTTAGTGCATCTCTATTACTAACTGTGTAAAATGAGGATAACTCTAGCTAACAGAAGGGTGGCTGTGTGGATTAAGTGATGTAAAGGATGTAAACTTCTTGGCCCAGTGTCTGGGATTTAGAAGCAATTAATAAATGAATTCACTCATCAATGTTTACTGGGGACTTAGTATGTACCAGTCATTGTTCTAGACCTGTGCTGTCTAATATGATAAGCCACTAACCACATGCAGCTATTGAGTACCTAAAATGTGTCTAGTCCAAATTGAAGTGTGCTATAAGTGTAAAATATATGTGCATTTCAAAGATTTGAAATAAAGGAAGTAAAATATTATGTTAATACTTTGCTACTTACTAGATGTTCAAATAATATTTTGGATATATTATGGTAAATTAGTGTTATGAAAATTAATTTCATGTTTCTTTTTTAATGTATTTACTCAAACATTTAAAATTATATAAGTAGCTCACATTTGTGGTGCACACACATTACATTTTTTGTGGACAGTGCTGGTCTAGATGCTGAAGTAAAAGCAAACCAGAAAACATCTTTGCTATTATAGAGCTTGCTTAGATATCAAAAAGGGGGGATACATAATACAACATGAATGAATAAATACAGCCAGTCTTCATCATTTGCAGATTCTGTGCTTGCTAATTCATCTACTTGCTAAAGTATACTTGTAATCTCCAAAATTAACAATTATAACACCTTTGTGGTCTTTCACACATCGGCGCAGAATGACAAAAAATTTGAGTCACTCTGTGCACACATTCTCAGCTGAAGTTAGTCAAGGCTGTGCTCTCTGCATTCTTGTTTTAACCCTCATAATGTAAAGTGGGCTTTTTTGTGTGTTCTACTTGGTGCAACATTTTTCACATTTTTGTGCTTTGTGTTGATTTTGCTGTTTACACCGCCCCCCGAGAGTAGTGCTGAAGTGCTGTCTAGTGTTCCTAAGCACAACAAGGCTGTGATGTGCCTTAAACAGAGAGAATATGTGTGTTAGATAAGCTGCTTTCTGGTATGAGTTATAGTGCTGTTGGCGAGGAGTTCAATGTTAATGAATCAACAATATGTATTAAATCACATCTTTCAACAGAAACACACACAAAACAAGGTTATACATCGATCAGTTGACAAACATATTGTCTCCAGAGACTCATAGGAACCTCACCCTATATTTCTCTTAGGAGCAATGGTTCAGTGTTTGCTAATGCAGTATTCACAGAAACTTTATAGAACATAAGTACCATGATGAATAATAATTGATTTTATATACTATAATCTCAAGTACTGATAAGTGCTATTAAGTAGAGTATGGGGATAGAAAAAGGGATGGATGAGGCCGGGCATGGGGGTTCACACCTGTAATCCCAGCACTTTGGGAGGCTGAGGCAGGCTGATCGCTTTCAGCCCAGGAGTTCGAGACCAGCCTGAGCAACATGGTGAAACCAAATCTCTACAAAAAACACACACAAAATTATCCAGGCATGGTAGTGTGCACCTGCGGTCCCAGCTACTTGGGATGCTGAGGTGGGAGGATCACTTGAGCTCAGGAGGCAGAGGTTTCAGTGAGCCAAGATCACACCTCTGCATTCCAGCCTGGGTGAGAGAGTGAGACCTTGTGTCAAAAAAAAAAAAAAAAGAAAAAAAAAGAGAAAAAAGAAAGAAAGAGAGAGATGGATGTGATAATTTAGAAAGGACAGTGTGGAAGTCTCACTGAGGTTGCGAAATTTTAGAAAATGAACTTGGGGTCAGCTGGTGGCTGGATCATTCATGCCAGTAAGCCATCTGATGCCTTTGCTTTGCTCAAGCTATTTCTTCTCCCTATAATGTTCTTGTCCTCAGAACAATTCCCCCTTCCTTGTTTTTCTTACTGCCTTTTAAAGAAAAATGTCAAAAGCAAAATTAATTGACAGATTATTCTTTAAGATAAAGGAGTAAAACAATAGAAAATAAGAAAATAAGGGTATGGCAACAACTACTCCAACTTGGTAAACAAAATTGCTGTAAGAATCCAACAAGCATCTTTATGGGAATTGGAAATCATTAAATAAAATATACCATATCTTGAGTGATTAGAAGGCTTTGGAAGATGGGATTAGAAGGCTTTGGAGGGTTTTGAGGGGGCGATAAGCTCATATTTACATTTTAAAACATCATTCAGGCATGAAGAGAATAAGCTTTCGGAGAAAAAAATAAAATCGGAGACAAGTTAGGTGGTAAGAGAATGAAATGATGTAAATAAAGCCCTTAGCCCAGTGCCTGGCACATAGTAAGTGCTCAGTGCATGTTAATGATTACTGTTATTCCTAATGATTCTACTTCCTCTCATTTCCATTCTCAACTTGATTTTCCTTTCCACTGGCCATGTAGTGTAGTCCCAGGGTGCTTGCCAATTCTGTGAGTGCTGTTATCATTAGGTTTATGAGTCTCTAAAATCTGTTCCTGGTTTCTTTCTACCAAGGAAGTTAGCCTTCAATGCTTTATCCATGATCCTCTCTTATGAATAAATTCTGAATTAAACTTCATTTGACATTCAAGATGTGATATATCCTATTTAACGTTTCCAATTCCCATAAAGATTCTTGTTGGATTCTTATGGCAATTTTGTTTACCAAGTTGGAGGTGTTGTTGCTATACCCTTATTTGTTACTATTTTACTCCTTTATTTTAAATAATAATCCATCAATTAATTTTGCTTTTGATATTTTTCTTTAAAAGACAATAGAAAAAGCAAGGAAGGGGAAATTGTTCAGAAGACAAACAGTGGACACTGAAAGCGTTCTATATTCTGACTATCTTGGTGTATATCTTTCCATAGACCCACAGGAGATTCTCTGAGTCCTCGATAGAGGCTTTCTGTCAATTTTTTTTCTTTATCTAGAAAAGATTAATTGACTAAATTAAATTTACCTTGGGATAATTTATCAGACTCAAGGCTATATTACTTCTGCAGGAGAGCAATGATACTAGTTTCAATGAGAATCCAAAAGTATCTTTTAAAAATTTTCTGTGCATTCTAGTTTTTAGAATGTTTTAAGCCCTTATGATGCTGTTGAGTCCAAAGCTTATACTCCTTGCTGCAAGAAAGCCAATAGGTTGAGCGACAAGGTGTTGAGGCAAGTAAAGTGACTTTATTTCAGAGAGCTAGTAAGCCAAGAAGATATAGGACTAATGCCCTAAAGAACCACATTAAGTTAATAGAATTTTAGGCTCCTTTTATGTTAGGGGAGGGGGGAACAAAGAGGGGGTTAAAGTCAAAAGGTAACTGGTGTCTATGGACATCTGGGCATCAGGAGTGGTGTGAAGAGGTTGCAAAACTTCTTTGTGGTTAACTGCTTCTCAGGTCCACCTTGTTTCTATAAATCTTGAACAGAATTGTTAGTTGTGTGCATACTTCCTTATCTCCTCACAGGCCTCTTTCAAAAGAGAAATAGTCATTAGTTCTAAAGTTAAAATATCTAAACTCTTTCCGTGATTAGTTTGGCCTACATGTAGGAATAAGCAAAGGCAGTTAGCCTGTGAGGATAGAAGCAAGATGAAGTCAGTGATGTCAGATTTCTCTCACTGTTACAATGAGATGATTTCATATACTGACCTCTTTGTATTCCCTTTATGGTGAAGCATGCCTAGCATTCAGAGGAAAGGGAAGGGACACAAAGATGCAGAAAATATGACTTCTGCTCTCAAGAGGCTTTCACATGAGAAGGAAGAGTCAAGACAAATGCTGTATAATGCAAGGTGTTGTGGGAAGGTAGACAAAATAATGAAAATGTTCTTTTATATCTGTTATTGGTGCAAGTGTCTATGGAAGAACTCTCATTTGAGTAATGAAAGAAATAAAAATATTTTACCCTAAAATATATTTTTGACATATTTTGAGATGGTTGTTTAGGGAGCCAGGAAACAGAAGTCATCCTGCAAAGCTGTCTTTTGCAGGGGAGATTTGCATCTATGCAGAATCTGCACTGATATAGCCAGGCTTTCTCTGAAGATTTCCCTTGTCTGGATCTAGGAAGGAGTAAGAGAGTCTGATACCTTTAAAGGTCTAAAATAAATATTTACTGTCTATTCTTTCTGAAGCCTGCTACCTGTGAGATTTCATTTACATTACAAGACCCCCTTGCTACCCAGGTCTTATCTACCTGTTTTGCTACAATCCATCTCCCACTCTTTCTGTAACCTCAAGATGGTATACGAGCTTCTAAACCTTGTTGTGGGATGGACAATCACTATGTGCTTCTCCCCTGTGTGCATATTAATAAATTTGTATGCTCTTTTCCAAATTAATCTGCCTTTTGTCAGTTGATTTTTCAGCTAACCTTCAGAGGACAAAGGGAAAGATTTTCCTTGGCCCCTACAGTAGTCATGGCAGATAGGTCCAATTTTGGTACATGAAGTTACGAAAGATAAAAGAGAACATGGGCATTATAGGGAGAATAAATAGCTTGAGCAAAAGCAAAGGCATCAGGGAATACTGTGAGTCCAGGAAATAACAAATACACCAATAATTAGAGTGAAATATAGACTGCGCCTAGCCATCATCTTGAAATTTTCTTACTTTCATTTTCATGACTTTTTTTTATTGGAAAGGAGGCGATTAATTGCTTGCTGTCCTAAAAATAAGCAATATGTACATTTCATTCTTCAATCTAGATGTCAAAGAATACCAGCTGTCATCTAATTTAAAATATATTTTCTATTTATATATTTCCTTTACCATTGCATAAGAGGACTTCACAAAGTTCAGGTAAATGTGTATTTTGACAAAATTATGCATAGGTTTCAACTTTTTTTGCACCAAAATAAACTTATACTAACTTGCTATAATATGTCTGAATAGAATCTAGTTTGAGGCACTATCAAGAATAAGACATAAGTTTGAAAAGAGTCCCATTCAGAGCAACGTGAATTCTGCTAAAATCAAAGCAAGAACAAACATAAAATTTATGGTGAAACTTAGGTGGAAGAATGGTGAAATCATTGATGCTTTAAAAAAGTTTAGGGAAACAATGACTCAAAGAAAACAGCAGTTTACAAATAGATAACTCCTTTTAGGAAGAGATGAGGTGGTATCAAAGATGAAGTCCACAGTGGCAGGCCACCCGCATAATTTGTAAGGATAAGATTAAGCTTGTTTATGTCCTAATTGAAGAGGACTGATGATTAACAGCGGAAACAAAAGCCAACACCATAGACACCTCAGTTGTTCATCTTACACAATTCTGACTGAAAAATTAAAGGTGAGAAGACTTTCCACTCAATAGATGCCAAAAGCATTGTGCCCAGGTAAGCTGCAGACAAGAGCAGAGCTTTCAATGGAAATTTTAAACAAGCGGGCTCAAGATCTTGAAGCATTTTTTCAAATAATTGTAACAGGAGATGAAATATGGCTTTACCAGTACAATCCTGAAGACAAAGCACAATCAAAGCAATGGCTACCAAGAAGTGGAAGTGGTCCCATCAAAGCAAAAGGGACCAGCCAAGAGCAAAGGTCATGGCATCAGCTTTTTTGGGATGCTCAAGGCACTTTGCTTGTTGACTTTCTTGAGGGCTCCCAAATGAAAACACCTGCTCATTATCAGAGTGTTTTGAGAAATCATCCAAAGCTTTAGCAGAAAAATGCCCGGGAAAGCTATACCAGAGAGTCCTTCTCCACCATGACAATGTCACTGTTTATTCTTCTCATCAAGCAAGAACAATTATGTGAGTTTTGATGGAAATCATTAGGAATTCACCTTATAGTCTTGAATTGGCTTTTTTTAACTTTTTCCTGCCCTAATCTTAAAAAGTATTTAAGAGGCACACATTTTTCTTCCTTTAATAATATAAAAAAGCCTGCATCAACATGGTTAAAGTCCCAGGACCCTCAGCTCTATAGGGATGGACTAAAAGGCTGGTATCACTCTTACAAAAGTGTCATAAACTTAATGGAGCTTATGTTGAGAAATAAAATTATAATTATATTTTTATTTTTTAATTCTACCTTTCCTCCCTCTTTTTGAAATCCTCTTATATTTTGCTTGTTGGAGATAATTTTTTTCTTCAGTATTTCATATTTGTGCTTTGAAAATAATATTTATGGTATATTTTTAGTGAGTAGAAAGTAGGAGTGATTACTATTAAAACAAAGTTGCAGAAATGGCTGCTAAGGTGAAAAACACTAGGAAATTTATTGATTAATGATCTACTTTTTTCTTCAATTTTCTACTTGGCTCATTTATTTGAGACACATTCTCATTAATAACATTGGGACATGAAAATCAGGTCAAGCTGGATTAAATTCTACCTCTACCATTCACTAGATTTATAACCTTCGGCACATATCTCAACCTCTCTGAGCCTCAATTTTTTTTATGTGTAAATGAGGATGTCAAATATAGGGATTGTGACAAAAGTAGAACATTCTAAATGTTTCTCCTCAGCTGTACAGCAAACGCAAGCTTGAAACCATCCAGTGGCCTCCTTTTTGAACAGTTGTCTAAATGCTTTATTGCCCCACTGTAAAAAGAGATGCTTTATGCTTTAGGGAGACTGGTACAGATGCCCCTAGATATTAAAATAAGACAGGAGAGTCTGGCTTCCTAGGGAGTTCTGAAGTGCTCCAGGTGGCACAGTTCTTGATCTCCCTGACTTTCTATCAATTACATTCTCTCAGACTCCTGCTTTCTTCTTAATGCTGAATGACATCCCTCCAAAAATGAGAAGGGTAACATTATCTTACATCTTAGTCTTCTCTGACTTTTAAAAAAATATGGCTTTCCCATCTCAGATTTCTCACTATTGGAGCAGGCAATACCAGCTGCTTCCCTTTCTATGATGTTGTCTATTGTTCTACCTTGGATAACTTCTCTGCTTACAACAAACAGGAAGCAGATGTGGTAGCAATAGATCCAGTTCATTATCTGGATAAAAATTTGACTTGGCAGCAGTTCACTTTGGAGTTGCCAAGTCAAATGCAACAAAGTGTATGTAATTTGATTAAATAAAATATGGAGTTTCCTTCTGCTGACCACTCCCTCATTCCCTTACCTTGTTTAGGAGTAGCTGGGGCTCCAGGCAACCCTGTGAGGGAAGTTTCTGATGATTAGTGCAGCCCAGCAGAAGTGTCATCATTTGAATCCGAACCTTTGGAGTCATTCTTGATTCCTCCATCTTTTTTTTTTCCTAAATATAATCCATCACAAAGTCCAGTCAGTCTATCTCCAAAATCATCTGCCCATTCCTCAAGCACAGCCCTAGTCCAGCCATAATCATCTCTCACCTGGATACTGAAATCACCCCTGCAGTCTCCCTGTGTCTTCTTAACTACGTTTTTTTAATCTCTAGCTCATTGACCACACCACATTGACAGTGTTCTTTTAAGAATTTGAGCCTTTTCATGTCCTTCTCCTGCTAAAAGCCCTTTAATGGCTTCTATTACATTTAGAATTAAGTCCAAATTTCTTACCATAACCTGCAAGGTCTTGTATTACTACTTCCATCTCCCCAGCTTCCTCTCCTCTCACCCTCCCCATATCTGTCTCTGTTCCAGCCATTCATGCAGTGTCTCCTTCATTTCCTTTAGCCAGCTGTATTAGTCTGTTCTTACATTGCTAATAAGACATACCAGAGGCTGGGTAATTTATAAAGAAAAAGAAGTTTAATGGACTCATAGTTCCACATAGCTGGGGAAGCCTCACAATCATGGTGGAATGTGAAGGAGGAGCAAATGCACATCTTACATGGCAGCAGGCAAGAGAGCGTGTGCAGGGGAACTGCCCTTTATAAAACCATCAGCTCTCATAAGACTTATTCACTATCACAAGAACAGCAGAGGAAAAACCTGCCCCTATGATTCAATTACCTTCCACTGGGTCCCTCCCATGTCATGTGGGGATTATGGGAACTACAATTCAAGATGAGATTTAGGTGGGAACATAGCCAAATCATATCACCAGCCAAGCTTTTCCTTTCCCCAGAGCCCTGGACTGGAAGACTCCCTCTGTCCTTTCATATCGATGGCCTGCTTGCTCGCCTTTCTTTCTTTCTCTTTCTTTCTTTCTTTCTTTCTTTCTTTCTTTCTTTCTTTCTTTCTTTCTTTCTCTCTTTCTCTCTCTCTCTCTCTTTCTTCTTTCTTTTTTTCTTTCTTTCTCTTTCTCTCTTTCTTTCTTTCTTTCTTTCTTTCTTCCTTCCTTCCTTCCTTCCTTCCTTCCTTCCTTCCTTCCTTCCTCTCCTTCCTTCCTTCTTTCAAAAATTTTTTTTGGCTGTGGTTCTAAGTTCGAAATACATAAGCTCCTTTCTTTTTTCCTTTCCTTTCCTTTTCCTCCTTCCCCTTCCTTTCCTTTTTCCTTTTCCCTTCCCTTCTCTTCCTTTCCCATCCCTTCCCTTTCTCTCCATTTCCTTTCCCTCCCTCCACCTCTTTACCTTCCAAAATAGCTGGTCTCCACCTATTGGGTTAATTTCTTGATCTACTGATGGGTATTGCCTTGCAGTTACAAAAACAAAAATAAAAGCATACCTCCAAAATAACTTTGTACTTGAACATGCTGGAGTGTACCAGAGTCTCCCCCACAATATAGTTGATAATGGTTCTGTACTTAAAGTAAACTTTGAATAAGCACATCAGCTAAGACTTAGAATTTTCTGCCAATAATTTTAAGAACACTGATGCAGGGAATCAATAACCCAGCACTGAATGGTGTGAGACAAGAGAAATGTAGGCCACACACTGAGGATCAATAGAAATCAATAAACATAAAAAGAAGAAAAAAATGTTTTGCACCAGAAAAATTGGCTAAGAGTGTAAATGTGCTCCTTAGTCTAGAGTTAATATCAGAAGCACATTTTATTCTATTATTTGTTGTTTATTAAATCAACATTTTTGAAAGCTCTGGACCATGGGTGGAAATAAGACATTCCCTGCCTTTAAGAAGCTTCTAGTAAAGCATATTATTTGTGGTTTAGTACATAGTAATAATATAGAATATTTAATAAATTCACTGGAAAGGAAAACACTATATAGTTCACATTCCACATTATGGTTTTAGTTGTTTTCAATTAATCATTTTTGTCAGCTGGGTTAAGTCCAGAGTCAGGAACACTGCTCTAGGTATTGTTCATGGATATTTAGACTACGTGGACACCAAATCACTACTGTATTCAAGATCCTGTTAGATAAGAGTGAAGAGATAGAGCAAGTTAAACCTTTAAAATGAAGCTGATTTTAAGTTTATTTCTTTTTGGGAATATTATATATTATGCTTGTACATATTAAGTATACCATTTTAAAAGATGACAGTTTTCCTATGTGATTTTTACACAATTGTTGAATTTCACAGTATTCTTATACTGCTCAATTTAGAAATCCATTAGCTATTACCTTTAATTGGTTTTTAATTTGATCAGTGCCTGCTTACCCCCAAATAATTATAAACTCTTTAAAGATAGGATTTTATTCTCATTTTTAACATGTTTTCCATATTTCTTATATGAGTATAAAATATAGAACAAGTATTAAATGAAATTATGCTCATTAAATGAAAACAGGTGGAAAATTGTTCTCCTTCCTGAAAACAGGAGCCAGAGCCATGGCTTCATGAAGATAAGGTTAAGGTTAAGGTTAACCTTATATTAACCTATAGTATGAAATTTCTTTTACAAATACAGAGGTGGAAGGAAATGAGAGGAAAATAATGATTCTACTTGTGTTAAATGATTTCTTTGTTTCCTAAATAATTGGCACCTTGGTGCTAGTCCCAGAATTTACCCACAATTCGCTATGACTAATATAGGCCCTGAAGTAACAGAGAATGTATGAAGACTATTGTATTGGTTTCCTGGGGCTGCCATAATAAATGATTGCAAGCTGGGCAGCTTAAACAATACAATTTATTGTCTCATAGCTCTGGAGGTTAAAAGTCTGAAATCAAGGTGTCAGCAGGGTTGGTTCCTTTTGAGGGTTGTGTGAAAGAATCTGTTCCGTTCCTCTGTCTTAGTTTCTGGTAGTTTACTGGCAATCTTCAGTGTCCCTGGGCTTGTATACGGCTATTTTCTTCCTATGTGTTCATATCATCTTCCCTCTGGGCATGTCTGTGTCTGTGTCCAAATTTCCCCTTTTTTGTAAAGACATAGGGTCCACTCTAATGAGCACAATTTAACTTAATCATATGCAAAGACCCTCTTTCCAAATAATGTCACATTCACAGGAGCTAGGAGTTAGGACTTAAACATCTTTTGTGGGCAACACAATTCAACCCATAACAACTTTTTTTTTTTTTTGAGACAGAGTCTCCCTCTGTCACCCAGGCTGGAGTGCAGTGGCATGATCCTGGCTCACTTCAACCTCCACCTCACAGGTTCAAGCAATTCTCCTGTCTCAGCCTCCTGAGTAGTTGGGACTACAGGCGTGTTCCACCACACCTGGCTAATTTTTGTATTTTTAGTAGAGATGGGGTTTCACCATGTTCACCAGGCTGGTGTCTCGAACTCCTGGCCTAAAGTGATTCACCCACCGTGGCCTCCCAAAGTGCTGAGATTACAGGTGCTAGCCACGTAACAACTATTTTCTAAGAAGTCTCCTTGATTTTATTAAGAACATCACCTCCACCATGCTGAGAGAGTTAGACAAAATCCCTGTTCATGCTTGACTTACAGAGAGAACTTTACCTACATTTTACTGTGAATTCTAAAGGCTCTTCCAATTCTTGCTGCTCTTTTTAAAAAGGGTTTTGTCTACATGATTATCCCATGGTTTAAAGTAATATCAGATAGACCATGTCTAGACTCCTGGTACTCCATGTGGTGCATGAAACATCTTATCTAGATTTTATTACTATGTGTACCCTTGCTTATAGGCAAGAAGTCATAAGGAAAACTGGGGACATCACAGGTATCTGGAAGCAACAGAAAAAAAATAGAATATCTATTAGAGAAATATATAGCAGGTCAAGACTGTTTTGTTTCCTTGAGGAGAATATGTTATGCTGAATATCTACAAAGGAATGAACAAGATTCAGAAGTGTTTCATTGCTGGGTTCACTTAGCTTCTGGCATCCATAGCATCAGGTCCTGCCACTTGAAGCAGTTAACACAAAACAAACCTAGTACATGAGGGTGATGAAAACTGACCTACCATAAATACATACACTTTTATTTTCCCGAGAAACAATTATAGATGGTCTCTTGTACCTAATCCTGCTTGTAACTAGGGGCAAGCACATTAAGAGGGAAATGAAATGGAGGCATGTTAACTGGCCCACATGAGTATGGGTCTCATTTGTGACATGTGCTAATCTGCTAATGTGAACAGCAGGAGGATATGACCAAAGCCCAGATAAAACACTATTCATAGAGGATATTACTAACTGGAAGTTTGTCCTGTAAATACACCAAAAAAAAGGCCAGGTGTTCACATCATGATGGGAGATCTTAGAGGAATAGGATGAGAGAAAGAAAGGGCAGATTTAACTTCAGGTATGATTTCTGTGATTATTAGATGTCTTTGTATATATTTTCTTCAAAAATAGCTCATGATTTTAGATAGAAACCAGTCTATCTGGAAATACATCATTTGACTTTTCTGTCTATTCATCGTAGAAATCACCCTGAAATATTTTCCAGGTAGTTTTGAGTGAAATATACTTGTATAGATATAATAGAATGACGATACTTTATATCATCATAATATCAATACAAATAAAGCTTATTAGTTAAAAGCTTAAAATCTGGAGCCAGAATGCCTGGGTTTGACTACCAGCCTTTCAGTTGGTAGCTGTAGAAACTGAGAAAGATAATTAACTTCACTCTGCCTCTCCTGTCTTCTTTGTAAAAGGGGGATAATAATAGTATCTACCTCATGTAGTCATTGTGAGAATTAAATTACTTAATATACTTAGGCTAAAATGCCAGTACATACTTAGAATAGTGTCTAGCAAAGCATAAAATGTGCTCATGTCAGTAGTAAGCATTTAAGGAGTTTCAACAGAGCTATGTGTTTTGAATTTCGATTTCGAGGAGCTTGTATCACAACTTGGGAAGCAGTTAGGTTTAAACATGTGTACTTGGAGAGCAATAAAAGACGGTTATGCAGATGTCATTATTTTCTAAGTGTTGTATATTGTTTTCAAAGATGACCACACCCTTTCTCCCCTTCTCTTCCCATTTTCCTCTGCAAAGTGACTTTGCTGCTCATCTCACCAAGAGATGGAGACTAATTTCCCTGACCCTTGAGTCTAGGCTGGTTTTGTGATTTATTCTGGCAAATGGAACAAGGCGGATGTGAGGTTATGTTGAGTTCTGGAGCCTAGGTGTTTAGATGCATTGTGGTTTCCACCGTAACTGGCTTAGCACTCTGTCCTGGGACTTCCACAGGATGAAGTTGGTCTAGCTAGCTGGAGGATGAGAGGCCCATGGAGGAAAATGGAGATGCCGTAACCAATACCAGCACCGGCTGTCAGACATGTGGGTGGGGTCATCTAGGATCTTTCTGCTCAGCTGACACTCATGCTTGTGCAGCCACATGAGTGACCTCAGGTGAGACCAGCCAAAGAACTATACAGAACAATGACAAAGAGCAACGTGCATTTGTAAGCTGAGTTTGGGGGTAGTTTGTTCCACACTGATAGGTAACTGAAACTCCAAGTGATACAGAGCAAAATGCAACTGTAATGAAAGGTTTAGAGAAGGAGGTGTCATAACATGAGGACACGGGTAATACATGGAAAAGCTTCATGAAAGTTATGCTATTTTAACTTGCCTTGGAAGATAAAGAGGAGATGGATCGCTTGGGAGGAAGAAGCAAGTATCTAAGCTAAGGAAGCAACATAAGCAAAGGAATTTGAGAGAGCAATAATAAGGCATGCTTGTATGTATTTAGTGGATTAGGAATGGGAATATGAGGGTCAGGGAGGAAATCAGACCAATCGACAAGTTTTGTGTTAGAGTGTAGTGAGAGGTAAGATTGTTACGAAAATTATGGACAGATTTTAAAACCAGTCAGAAATGCCAATGTGATTTTTTAAAATGTCTTCTCCCTTATAACACTTCCTATTTTGTATCAGTTCTGTATTCAACAAATATTTATTGAATGGCTATTATGTTAGGCACTGTAGTAGACTGGTTGAATAATGACCTCCCCAAATTCATGTTCGTCTGAAACCTGGGAATGTGACCTTATTTGAAAATAGCTTCCTTGCCTATGCAATCAAGTTGAGATGCATCGTACTGGATTAGGATGCATCCCTAAATCCAATGACTGGTGTCCTTATAAGGAAGGGAAGATTTTGTCATAGAGAGACAAAGACATGGAGGGACAGAGGGAAGAAGGCCATGTGTCAAAGGCAGCAGAGAGTAAAGTGTTGGAGCTACAAGCCAAGGAATAGCAGAAGTTGGGAGAGAGGCCTGGAGCAGCTGCTTTCTCAGAGCCTCCAGAAGGAACCAGTCCTGATGACACCTTGGTTTTGAACTTCTAGCCTCCAGAACTATGAGAGAATACAATTCTGTTATTTTAAGCCACCTTGATTCTGATAATTTGTTTCACCAGACCTGGGAAGTGAATACTGAATGTTTCTGGGTGCTGAAGTTACAACAGGGAACAAAACATAAAAATTCTCACAAATTCCCTTTCCTCCTAGACTGTAAAGTCCTGGAGGGAAGATCTTGTTCTTCCTGATCTTTTTTTTTTTTTATATATACCTTGTACTTCCTTATGTACTGTAGATACTCAAAACATAAAGGCTTGATGACCAGTGCACTAGATAATGAGGATCCATGACAAGATATTGAAGCAGCGGAGTGGAATTGAGATAGCACAAGTTCAAATATTGGCTCCACTGATCATTAGCTATGGGTGATCTTGAGCAGGTTATTAATCTTTCTGATGCTCGCTTCCATCACCTATGAAACAGGAATCCTCATAACTGCCTCATGCTATTAATCGAGAGGACTTCATGGGGTAACATGTGTCAAGTGCCAAAGTCATGGTTAGCTGCCCAATAAATTTGTTTTTTTTCTTTTCCCATCCTTATAATAGGATAATGAAAGAAACATTTTAGGAAGTAGGGTATCAGGTGGATTTGTGAAAAGGGGAGGGCTTCAGGGCATTTGTTTTTGACACAACAGAAGGAGCCTGGATTGAAGTGAGGAGAGCATGGATTGGGGTGAGAATCATATGAACTGAGAGGAGAGGACAAACACAGAAAAGTATCTAAGGAAGAATCTATAGAATTTACTACCAGTTGAAGAAGAGAGAAAAAAATAAAGTGAAAAAACGAACATTCACCCAGATGCCTAACATAGTAGTCTGAGATCATGATGATGTTAAGGACACAGTCAGGAGAATTGGGAAATCTGGTTATTAAACCTGAGAGATAAGTTTGGCTTGGTTTAGGTTGAGTGATGACAGGACAGAAAAGTGATGTCTTAGAGACCAAAATGAGGCAGCAGTGGAAAAGAGAGTTAGAAATGTAGATTTGATGATCATCTGAAGACTGGTGGCAACAGAAGCCACAAAAGTAGGTGATTTCACTGAAGGAGACAGTATATAGGAAGAAACCCAAGGGGTCAGAGCAGAGTCTTTAAGAAGGAATAAGAAGGACCAACAATTGAGAATAAGGAAATGTTGCAGATTCCATGGTAAAATGAATCCTTTGACTTATCAATGGTGATTAAAATTTCACTTGAAAGAAAGCTGTAGTTCTTCATGTCCAGGTGTCACAGACCATCAGAAATATGTTTAGAGGTACTCCAAAGAATTTAGCTATCTTTAATTAATATCGTGATTTACAAAATTGTATGTTTATTCTAACTCTTTAGATGAATCTCTGAATTGCAGAAAAAGCCGTAAGACAATGTAGACATTTAATCTTTCTTAGCCTTAGTTGGAAAAGACAATGTCAAGCATGTACTTTTTTCTTTCCGGTGTGTAAGTTTCCATGATTCTTTGAACTAGTCAAAAACATAACAGCTGTAGCAAAATGCTTTGTGATTAAATGTAGGTAAGTGGCATATTTTTGTTTCCACCTCTGCTAGGTTCATTTTAGAATTTAGACATGTGTAGGTATATATTTAGTGTCTAGAGGGACAGACCTTCCAGAGTCTATTCTGCGAGTCTGAGAAACACCCTAGAAAGGAACTTCCATTGAGAAAGATGTTGAATTCACGAAAGATTCAAGGCCATGGCTGGTGTGGAAACAGTGGGGTAATTACGAGTGTGTGTGGCCCACATGGTCCTTTGTTCTTGCCCTTTATGGCACACACATCTTGTAATTTTCCAATACTAATCCCAGGGATTTGCACTATGTGTCTGAGCCCTGACACGGAAGCCAGTGGGAACAACATGACAAGACAATGATTTCCTTCAAGTCTCTGAGACAATGAAAACACAAGGCAACACTCTTGAGGCCCAGGTAAAAGAGGTAGTGATACAGAGTCATTTCCTCGGACTTTTCAGCAACAATGTGGAGACAATGGCAGCTGTAGAGACACTAGTAACCTTCAATCAATCATTGGTGGCCTCAGCGTAAGAAAGGAAAAATGTGGCAGCACATTTGACAGGCAATGACTTGATGGAGAACAGAGGACTTAAAAGGAAATGACAATGAAAGGTAGGGAGGCTGGAGCCTGTCACCATCTGCTAACTCCAACAAGGACAGTAGCACTTTGACTTGTAAGTATATCATTTCGTTTAAAACCTTTGTAGACTCAACCTGCCAAAAATTCATTTCTGTCAATTTATAAAATATAAAATATTCTTTCTTTTCTGGCTACATTTCTACCATCCAGTAGAATAAGAATGCTGTATTACAGAGCCAAATTTTTTGAATTCTAGTTTAGAAACCATACTTCTTATAAAAGAGTATAATTGCATCATCTCTGGGAAATTTATAAACCTATGATGTAGTGCTGAAATTTTATGATTTTACATATATTAGCTTTCATGTGTATTCTGTGCTGGCAGTAGTTTTCTGCTGGCCATAAGGAAGAACTATTTTAATTAACTCTGAAAATAAACCCATATCAATTAAAGATGCGTGCGCATGCACACACACACGTACATCAAGTATACATACACAAAGTTGTTACTCAGAAATAAGCCTATTTTGTGCAATTGAATCACAGCTCTTGGCACATGAAAGTGCTCAATATTATTAATATCATCATGTCTATTATTAAGAAATGTCACTGGCTTACAAATATGCCCTATTGAGAAGTAAGAGGTACATTGTCCTGGTTATTGTTTGATACTCTAAAAAAGTGGATCAGGGCAGAATCAGTTAATTGGTGTTGCTTTTATCAGTTAATGGTTGGTGAATAGAGTCACTTTAAGACAAACCATATGCAGGAGGAGAGATAGACATGCTCCTGACACTTTGCCCCAAGAACTCCTCTATCCAGCTTAGTCCCTTGTTCCAGCCTGTTCATCATGTAAATCCTGGAGACTACATTCTTCTAGGAAGAAGTGGTACAGTCTAGTGTCTTGATTCCAGAAGCCCCATAGGTTTGAATCCCAGCTCCACCCATTGCTAGTTGTGTAACCTTGGGCAATTTATTAAATCTTTTTGCGATTTATTTTCTTCATCTATAAAATGAGGCTCACTAGAACACCTAGCTCATGGGGCTACTGTGAAAATTAAAAATGTTAATACAAGCATGCAGCACATAGTAAGCCCTTGTTCTAAGTTCTTTGTATTACATGATGGTATCCTGGCCTCTCCTTTGGTAATGATTCCGCTCTATTAGACTTCAGCTGTGCTCAGTCCTCCTCCCTCTATCCCCTTTTCTGTTCCCTGTTCACTCTCATGCTAGCTTGTTGGCATTTGTGATTCCTTCTGAAGGGCTGCTGTCTCTCTTAGTCTATGACATACCTATTAATACTTGGTGACTGAGATCGAGCTACTTGGGTTCTAAGTGAGGGTTTCATGAGTCAGAATAAGAAAAGATCCCAAAGATCATGACACTCTATGGACTCTCCATGGATTATTTTCTCTTTCCTGAAAACCGGAAAATGTTGATTATTTCCTGATGATGGCATAAAGAACCAAATATTGCAGAACAAAAAGGTTGTGCTGCCAACACTTCTTAGAGAAAAAAGAGAATTACATGGAAGGCTGTTTTTCAAAAAAGAGAGTGTTATTATAAGACATTGTTTCTTTAAATATTGGCAAATACAGACAGAAGATGGTGACAAAAAGCAAGACTATTTGCATGTTCATAGATTTTAACTTAACAATTTTGGTCAATTGAAAGCAATATGAAACACAGACATAAAGTCGTATAAGGTAACAATCTTAACACTTCTTAGGCTTGGAATGGTGCTAAGTGTCTTAGAAGTGCTGTGGAGATAACAAACAGAAAGGACATCCACACCAAAACCCCATATGTACGTCACCATCATCAAAGACCAAAGGTAGATAAAACCACAAAGATGGGGAAAAAACAGAACAGAAAAACTGAAAATTCTAAAAATCAGAGCACCTCTCCTCCTCCAAAGGAACACAGCTCCTCACCAGCAATGGAACAAAGCTGGACGGAGAATGACTTTGGCGAGTTGAGAGAAGAAGGCTTCAGATGATCAAACTTCTCCGAGCTAAAGGAGGAAGTTCGAACCCATCGCAAAGAAGTTAAAAACCTTGAAAAAACATTAGACGAATGGCTAACTAGAATAACCAACGCAGAGAAGTCCTTAAAGGACCTGATGGAGCTGAAAACCATGGCACGAGAACTACGTGACGAATGCACAAGCTTCAGTAGCCAATTCGATCAACTGGAAGAAAGGGTATCAGTGATTGAAGATCAAATGAATGAAATGAAGGGATAAGAGAAGTTTAGAGAAAAAACAATAAAAGGAAACAAACAAAGCCTCCAAGAAATATGGGACTATGTGAAAAGACCGAATCTATGTCTGATTGGTGTAGCTGAAAGTGACGAGGAGAATGGAACCAAGTTGGAAAACACCCTGCAGGATATTATCCAGGAGAAATTCCCCAACTTAGCAAGGCAGGCCAACATTCAAATTCAGGAAATACAGAGAATGCCACAAAGATACTCCTCAAGAAGAGCAACTCCAGGACACATAATTGTCAGATTCACCAAAGTTGAAATGAAGGAAAAAATGTTAAGGGCAGCCAGAGAGAAAGGTTCGGTTACCCGCAAAGGGAAGCCCATCAGACTAGCAGCTGATCTATCGGCAGAAACTCTACAAGGCAGAAGAGAGTGGGGGCCAATATTCAAGATTCTTAAAGAAACGAATTTTCAACCCAGAATTTCATATCCAGCCAAACTAAGCTTCATAAGTGAAGGAGAAATAAAATCCTTTACAGACAAGCAAATGCTGAGAGATTTTGTCACCACCAGGCCTGCCCTACAAGAGCTCCTGAAGGAAGCACTAAACATGGAAAGGAACAATCAATACCAGCCACTGCAAAAACATGCCAAATCGTAAAAACCATTGATGCTAGGAAGAAACTGTATCAACTAATGAGCAAAATAACCAGCTAACATCATAATGACAGGATCAAATTCACACATAACAATATTAACCTTAAATGTAAATGGGCTAAATGCTCCAATTAAAACACACACACTGGCAAACTGGATAAACAGTCAAGACCCATCAGTGTGCTGTATTCAGGAAACCCATCTCACGTGCAGAGACACACATAGGCTCAAAATAAAGGGATGGAGGAAGATCTACCAAGCAAGTGGAAAACAAAAAAAGGCAGGGGTTGCAATCCTAGTCTCTGATACAAAGACTTTAAACCAACAAAGATCAAAAGAGACAAAGAAGGCCATTACATAATGGTAAAGGTATCAATTCAACAAGAAGAGCTAACTATCCTAAATATATATGCACCCAATACAGGAGCACCCAGATTCATAAAGCAAGTCCTTAGAGACCTACAAAGAGACTTAGACTCCCACACAATAATAATGGGAGACTTTAACACCCCACTGTCAACATTAGACAGATCAATGAGACATAAAGTTAACAAGGATATCCAGGAATTGAATTCAGCTCTGCACCAAGTGGACCTAATAGACATCTACAGAACTATCCACCCCACATCAAAAGAATATACATTCTTCTCAGCACCACACCACACCTATTCCAAAATTGACCACATAATTGGAAGTAAAGCACTCCTCAGCAAATGTAAAAGAACAGAAACTATAACAAACTGTCTCTCAGACCACAGTGCAATCAAACTAGAACTCAGGACTAAGAAACTCATTCAAAACCGCTCAACTACATGGAAACTGAACAACCTGCTCCTGAATGACTACTGGGTACATAACAAAATGAAGGCAGAAATAAAGATGTTCTTTGAAACCAACGAGAACAAAGACACAACATACCAGAATCTCTGGGACACATTTAAAGCAGTGTGTAGAGGGAAATTTATAGCACTAAATGCCCACAAGCAAAAGCAGGAAAGATCTAAAATTGACACCCTAACATCACAATTAAAAGAACTAGAGATGCAAGAGCAAACACATTCAAAAGCTAGCAGAAGGCAAGAAATAACTAAGATCAGAGCAGAACCGAAGGAGATAGAGACACAAAAAACTCTTCAAAAAAAATCAATGAAGCCAGGAGCTGGTTTTTTGAAAAGATCAACAAAATTGATAGACTGCTAGCAAGACTAATAAAGAAGAAAAGAGGGAAGAATCAGATAGATGCAATAAAAAATGATAAAGGGGATATCACCACCAATCCCACAGAAATACAAACTACCATCAGAGAACACTATAAACACCTCTACACAAATAAACTAGAAAATCTAGAAGAAATGGATAAATTCCTCAACACATACACCCTCCCAAGACTAAACCAGGAAGAAGTTGAATCTCTTAATAGACCAATAACAGCCTCTGAAATTGAGGCAATAATTAATAGCTTACCAACCAAAAAAAGTCCAGGACCAGATGGATTCACAGCCTAATTCTACCATAGGTACAAGGAGGAGCTAGTACCATTCCTTCTGAAACTATTCCAATCAATAGAAAAAGAGGGAATCCTCCCTAACTCATTTTATGAGGCCAGCATCATCCTGATACCAAAGCCTGGCAGAGACACAACAAAAGAAGAGAATTTTAGACCAATATCCCTGATGAACATCAATGCAAAAATCCTCAATAAAATACTGGCAAACTGAATCCAGCAGCACATCAAAAAGCTTATCCACCATGATCAAGTGGGCTTCATCCCTGGGATGCAAGGCTGGTTCAACATATGCAAATCAATAAACGTAATCCAGCATATAAACAGAACTAAAGACAAAAACCACATTATTTATTTCCATAGATGCAGAAAAGGCCTTTGACAAAATTCAACAGCCCTTCATGCTAAAAACTCTCAATAAATTAGGTATTGATGGGATGTATCTCAAAATAATAAGAGCTATTTATGACAAACCCACAGCCAATATCATACTGAATGGGCAAAAACTGGAAGCAGTCCCTTTGAAAGCTGGCACAAGACAGGGATACCCTCTCTCACCACTCCTATTCAACATAGTGTTGGAAGTTCTGGCCAGGGCAATCAGGCAGGAGAAAGAAATAAAGGGTATTCAATTAGGAAAAGAGGAAGTCAAATTGTCCCTCTTTACAGATGACATGATTGTATATCTAGAAAACCCCATAGTCTCAGCCCAAAATCTCCTTAAGCTGATAAGCAACTTCAGCAAAGTCTCAGGATACAAAATCAATGTGCAAAAATCACAAGCATTCTTATACACCAATAACAGACAAACAGAGAGGCAAATCATGAGTGAACTCCCATTCACAATTGCTTCAAAGAGAATAAAATATCTAGGAATCCAACTTACAAGGGATGTGAAGGACCTCTTCAAGGAGAACTACGAACCACTGCTCAACGAAATAAAAGAGGACATAAACAAATGGAAGAACATTCCATGCTCATGGGTAGGAAGAATCAATATCGTGAAAATGGCCCTACTGCCCAAGGTAATTTATAGATTCAATGCCATCCCCATCAAGCTACCAGACTTTCTTCACAGAATTGGAAAAAACTACTTTAAAGTTCATATGGAACCAAAAAAGAGCCTGCATTGCCAAGTCAATCCTAAGCCAAAAGAACAAAGCTGGAGGCATCACGCTACCTGACTTCAAACTATACTACAAGGCTACAGTAACCAAAACAGCATGGTACTGGTACCAAAACAGAGATATAGATCAATGGAACAGAACAGAGCCTTCAGAAATAATACCACATATCTACAACTATCTGATCTTTGACAAACCTGACAAAAACAAGCAATGGGGAAAGGATTCCCTATTTAACAAATGGTGCTGGGAAAACTGACTAGCCATATGTAGAAAGCAGAAACTGGATCCCTTCCTTACACCTTAGACAAAAATTAATGCAAGATGGATTAAAGACTTAAATGTTAGACCTAAAACCATAAAAACCCTAGAAGAAAACCTAGGCAATACCTTTCAGGACATAGGCATGGACAAGGACTTCATGTCTAAAACACCAAAAGCAATGGCAACAAAAGCCAAAATTGACAAATGTGACCTAATTAAACTAAAGAGCTTCTGCACAACAAAAGAAACTACCATTAGAGTGAACAGGTAACCTACAGAATGGGAGAAAAATTTTGCAATCTACTCATCTGACAAAGGGCTAATATCCAGAATCTACAAAGAACTCAAACAAATTTACAAGAAAACAAACAACCCCATCAAAAAGTGGGTGAAAGATATGAACAGACACTTCTTGAAAGAAGACATTTATGCAGCCAACAGACATATGAAAAAATGTTCATCATCACTGGCCATCAGAGAAATGCAAATCAAAACCACAATGAGATATCATCTCACACCAGTTAGAATGGTGATCATTAAAAAGTCAGGAAACAACAGGTGCTGGAGAGGATGTGGAGAAATAGGAACACTTTTACACTGTTGGTGGGACTGTAAACTAGTTCAACCATTGTGGAAGTCAGTGTGGCAATTCCTCAGGGATCTATAACTAGAAATACCATTTGATCCAGCCATCCCATTACTGGGTATATACCCAAAGGATTATAAATCATGCTGCTATAAAGACACATGCACACATATTTTTATTGCGGCACTACTCACAATAGCAAAGACTTGGAACCAACCCAAATGTCCACCAATGATAGACTGGATTAAGAAAATGTGGCACATATACACCATGGAATACTATGCAGCCATAAAAATTGATGAGTTCATGTCCTTGGTAGGGACATGGATGAAGCTGGAAACCATCATTCTCAGCAAACTATCGCAAGGACAAAAAACCAAACACCACATGTTCTCACTCATAGGTGGGAATTGAACAATGAGAACACTTGGAAACAGGAAGGGGAACATCACACACCAGGGCCTGTTTTGGGGTGGGGGAAGGGGGGAGGGATAGCATTAAGAGATATACCTAATGTAAATGAGGAGTTAATGGGTGCAGCACACCAACATGGCAGATGTATACATATGTAACAAACCTGCACGTTGTGCACATGTAACTAGAACTTAAAGCATAGTAAAAATATGTATATATATATATATAAAGAAAAGAAAAGAAAATTCTTGAGAAAAAAGAAATTAATTATAACTAATATATGATTATGTTGTGACATTTCTAGATGTCACTGCAAATAAAGTAACAATTTGAGCACACACCAAAAAAGAAGTGCTGTGGAGAGAGCTACTATTCATAACATCATCTTCTCCATCCATTGTACATATTTGCAAAGCTGCTTTTGTAATAAAAGTGCATACAGAAACAAACTTACTTTTATTCATGAGTTACTATAGACTTAAATCTCTTTTAGTTAGTTTTTTCTGTTTCTTGGGATTTATTTCATTTTCTGAATGTGGGATGTGTAGTTCTCATCAAATTTGGGAACTGTTGGCCCATTAATTCTTCAAGTATGCCTCATCTTACTTCATGCCTCAAAGACTCCAATAACACATATATCAGAGCACAGCTAACAGAGGCTCTGCTTATTTTTCTTTTTAAAGGCTTTTTTTTTTCTCTTGGTGTTTCACTTTGGATAAATTCTAATTGCTGTGTCTTTAAATTCATTATTCTTTCTTCTCTTCTGTTAATTCCATCCTGTGTATTTTCCCCCTCAAACACTGCACTTTTTATCTTTAAAAGTTTGATTTGAGTCTTTTAAAATTATCATCCGTGTCTCTATTTAACATGCACAAGTGTTTCTCTACCTTCTTGAACATATGGAATAATATTTCAATAACTCTGTCATCTTGCCATACATTGGTCTGTTTCTACTGAATGATTAATTTCCTCATTATGGATTATATTTTCTTGTTTCTATATATACTTGGTAATTTTTAATTGGATGTCAGACATTGTAATTTTTATTTTGTTTGGTGATAGTTTTTTTTTGTATTCGTAAGAGTATTCTTGAGCTATGTTCTGGGATACAGTTAAGTTACTTGGAATTAATTTACTAATTTGAGACTTGCTTGCAAGCTTTGTTTGGTGGGATTAGAGCAGGTTTTAGTCTAGAGCTAATACTGCCCACTACTGAGGCAAGATCCTTCTGAGTATTCTACCTTATACCCATGAATTGTGAGGGTTTTCCTCTCTGGCAGGTGCAAACACAGATTATTCCCAGCTCTGTGTGAGCTTCAGGATTTCCCTTCTGCTCCTTTCTTGTGGTGATTTCCCAGCCTGAGATTATTTTCTCAAGTGCAAGTGTTGAGTAGTCAGTAGCTGAAGACTTGAGGGGCATCCTCAGCAGGTCTCTAGAGCTCTCTCTAGGCAACAGTCTCCTTTCCAGTACTCTTCTCTGTGAACTACAGGTAGTTTAATCTTCTCAGACACCCAATTCCATCTCTCCAACTCAAAAGTCACCAATGAGCTTTACCTAAATGTGACCTCCCTATTCCACAGGCTAAAAATTCCCCATAAATTGTCAGCAGAGGCAACTGCAGAGCTCACTTATTTTGTTTTTTTATCTCTGAGGAATCACTGTCCTGCACTTCCTGATGTTCTATGTCTGAAATACACTGCTTTATATATTTTGTCTGTTTTTTTCCCCATAGATTCAGGTGGCAGGGTAAGTCTAGTTCATGGTACTTCATCTGGGGTGGGGTGAAAATCTCTCAAGGTAGTTTCTGTTAACCGTAGTCACTAGACAGTAAATTTGACTCATTTATATTGCAATGGACTTAAGTTTCCCAGACATAGCCAAGTTCTGGGTCATATACTGGTTCTAGAAACTGTCCTTTAGAGTGTTCTAAGGCTGCCTCATAAGTGCAAGCCTGTTCACATTTTTCTCATAATAAAAATGACCAATCATTAATTTTCTCATTGATGAAATCAGAAAGTGATAATTTTTCTTTTAAAATGATAATACAGTATTCTATAATTTGTCATTAATTTTAATTCAAACTTGCTTATATCTAAGACACTCAACAATTTGTATACCATACACATTTTATTGAGAACCTACTTTGTGCCAAACAGACACTCTTCTAGATGTTAGTAATAGAGCTGATAACAGAAAAGTAAGGTTCTTGAATTCGTGTAATTTATCTTCTCTTGGCATCAGTGAGAAGGCAGCTAACAGAAAAACAAACAAATGTACTAAGTAAAAAAAAAAAAGACTGAAGCCAAAAAAATCAAATAAGGATAACCATAATGCAGGAAATTAAAATAGGATGACTGGACAGCTACTTTCGATTAAGTAGTTGGGACTGCTCCAAAGAAGTTACATGATCTGAAAGAAAAAGGAAAAGTCAAGTGTGAAAAGATCAAGGAAAAAGTTTTCCACATAGAAGAAATAAGTGCAAATGTCATAAGCCAGAAAGTGGACATGAGATGTTTAAGGATGACTCATGTTGGCAGGTGCAAGGAGGAAGGGAGAGAAAAGTCAAGGAGGTCACAGAGGTAGACAAGCATGTGGTTCTTTATAAGGCAGCTCAGGAGTTTGGGTTTTCTTTTGAAGGTGGGAAATCACTAAGGATTAAAAAGGAATGGGATGACATGATCTGATTTACATTGCATATCCCCTCTGACTACTATATGGAGAATTGTAGAGGGGATTATAAAGGAGCAAGGGAAAAAGCAAGAGATCAGTTAGGGGGAGACAGGGTGATAATGGATATGGAAAGGAGTGGATGATGTGGGATGGGTTTTGGTGGTAGACTCAACAGGACTTGATGGATTGAATGTGGAGCATGAAGAAGCATGCCTAGGTTTCGGACTCCAGAAACTGGGTAGATGGCCATATCATTTACTGGGGAATTTTGAAGTGAAAGAAGTTTGTGGAAAAAACAAATAAATAGTCATTTTTGAGCTGTGTCAGTTTTGAGCTATTTACTAGAAAAACTTATTTAGATATGGAGTAGGATTTAGACATATAAATCTGTAGCTCCAGAAACAGAGCAAAGCTAGAGGAGTAGTTTTGAGAATCATCACTAATTGATGGTATCTAAAATGATCAGCTTGGAAGAAGGCACAAAGAAACAGTGTGTGGATAGACAAAAAAAGCGGGGGATCCAGACAGTTGCACCGTGCTGGGTGATGTCAGCATTTGGCGTTTATCAAGGAATAAAAAGAGAGCAAAGGAGACTCAGAAGGGGTGAGCTGTGAGGGGAGAGGAAAACTAGGAAGTGCGTTTTTTCTGTAACCAAAAATAAAAGCACTTTCAAAAATAAAAGAGTGGTCATTATAAACATAGAGGTCATCAGTAACCTTGATTAGAGCAGGCATAGTAGACTGGTAGGGGCAGAAAGGCTGAAGAGAGGATATGGGGTGGAGAAGCAAAAGCCGGTGCTTCTGGACTGCTCTTTAAGGAAGAAGCTGTGCTGTGAAAGGAGCTAAGAAATGGGACAGAAGCTGCAGTGGGTTGAGGTTTTTTTTATTAAAGAGAGGAAATATTCAACATGTTTTAGATAAATGGCAATAATTTATTAGAGAGGCAGAAACTGATGCAAGATAGGAAGTAATTGCAGGAACAGAGTCCTTAAAAACAAAAGGAGAGGGCTCTAGAACACAAGTGCAAGAGTTGGCCTTGGATAGGAGCAGAGCTAGTTCATGCATATTAATAGAAGGGTAGGCTGATTGCTTCAAGAGGCAAAGATGCATGAGCTATTGTCTGATATTTCTATTTTTTTGGTTAATTATGAGGCAAGCTTGTCAGCAGATTGAGGGTTAGAGGAAAAGGAATGCAGGAGGTCTGAAGATATAATAGTAGTGAGTGAAACAGTCATTTAGAAGAATTGCATAATAAACATGGTTTTGAGCAGTGTTGCATGCCCCTTTGGGTTTTGCGACCATGCATTCAAAGTCAGTAAGAGTGTGTTTTTTTCCAGGAGAAACTGCTTGGTTTCAAGCTCAGACTGGGTGTGTTAGCTAAATTTAATTAGGACTGAGATTTGACCAAGTGAGTATGATACAGAAATTAGCGAGAGGAATAGCTAAGGTTTTGGCAATAAATTATTTGAATGATGGACCATGAAATTTAAGCTCTAGCTAAGGAAAAAGGTGAGCATGTGAGGAGGGTAATAAATAGTGGAAAAGCTGTAGAGGCTATGAACTGGAGACTTTAAGTGAGGTTGAAAAATAGTTGAGACGGGTTGCTAAGTAAGAAGACTGAAAAAATAGAAGTGGTTGGGCATTTTTCCCTCCCTTTGGTGCATAATATTGAAACAAAGCATCTGGTAATATAGCGAGATCCTTTTGACATCAAATACAGAAAAATAAGACACCCCGAGATAAGCTAACTGGCTAGATAAGACTTAACTGTATTTGACTAAAATTTTTAAAGATACAGTAAGAAGAGATAATTTAGGAAGTCAGTGCATTTTGGATTGTTAGAGCTTTAAGAAACTTTTTTTGTTTTACATTTTTGATCAGCAACAAAAACTTCTCATTAGTCATTCAATTATACCTGAAATTTGGCCTTCCCCTAACTCTTAGACATTCTTTTGCCTTCCTCTCTATGTTCAGAATAGGAGTAGAGAAACTTTTCAGTGGAAAAATTCACACTGAGTTTTGGCTTTGTTCCATATTTATGTTGTCATATTAATTTTAAGGTTTTAAGATTAAATTAGACATGAAGCCAAAAAAAAAGAAAGAGAAGTTTATATCATGGGACTTGCCAGAGACAAATGCTCCAATTCAGTATCATGCAGTTACTTTCCTTCCCAGATCTATCTTGATTGAGACTCGTTTGTCAGAGAAGACACATTTTTATACAGACTAAAATGAAACAAAATGCTTTTTTAGTGCAAGGGTTAACATTACCCTCAGAGAGAACAGCCACGGCAACCAGGAGACCCTCTGTTCCCAACATATAAATAGCTTTACTCTCTGATTTCCTCCGTGACTATTTGTAGAACACAAGGGATCTAGAATATGGCCAATCTGGCATCCAATGCCATATAGACCAGACAAACCTAAATCATTAAAAGCCATCTCTAATCCTAACCTAAAAGTACTCTGAAACCATAGAATTTTATTAGTAAGTTTAATTTAAAACTGCGCATTTAACATTTACTTATAAAATGCTATATAAAATTGACATATTCTCTTTCTACTCCAACTTTAACTTAAAATATATACACTCACACACAGACACACACACACGCATACATACAAGACATGCACATACATATTGAGTGCAAATTTCTGTCTTAAGGAGTGTCTGAAACCTTAATTAGGATGACTGAAGATAGGGGCATTATCGTTACGTATAACACTCAGGCTTTCTTATGCCGATTTCCTTAAAGGCCTGTGGTGATGGGACTTTTCCTCTGCTGGATGGAAGACATCTGTTCCCTGGTAAGGCTTATCTTACTTATCATTTATTTGATATCCACTCCCCCTGTGGCACATTCCTGAACCATGCTCTATTGAATTATTTTTCTTGGTAGTTAAAGCACACTTTATGTTATAGTATCTTAAAAGGATATTGTTAATATCTAAAATAGACTGATTTGTGTTCACTACTTTTCATTCCATGCCTCCCAGTGAGGTAGGTGCCAACAGGAAGAGAAATAATGGCAAAGAACTAGCCACAGGAATGAGATAAAGAAGGAAAGTGTCTAGCCAAAGTAGAAATGGGATAATTGTCTCTTAATATGTCATTCTTGTTCTATCCATTATCCTGGTGAATGGGAGGAGAGTGGCCTGTGTGATGGGGGTTGGTGGTAGCCGTTGAGGGCTAGGTCCGCTGTCAACCAGGGACCCCTCCTAGAGCACTGCCCATGGCCTGAAACGGTATTGGTGCAAAAGAGGGGAGTTAGGTTGGTGAGGGCTGATGGCATTTAACTCAAGATGTGCAAATGAAAGGCACTGAGAACAACATAAATTATCCCTTAGATATGAAAAAGCCCCACCCTAGGTGTTATTAGCTCCATTTCACAAAAGATAAGGTGGTGGCATTAATCCAATAAAATATAAGCCTATTTGGTTTCAAAGCCAGGTTCATGCTCCTCTATGACACTGCAGAAAGCCCAACGTCCTAGATTGAAGTCAAGACCGGGGCATATCTTCAGGTCATGGAATCCAGGAGCATAGAGTTAAGTGCAAGTCAGTTGTGCACATATTAAATATATATATATATATATATATATATTTTTTTTTTTTTTTTTTTTTTTTTTTTGAGACAGGGTCTCACTCTGTCGCCCAGGCTGGAGTGCAGTGGCATGATCATGGCTTCCTGCATCCTTGACCTCCCCATGCTCAAGCCATCCTCTCACCCCAGCCACCTGAGTAGCTGGGACTACAGGCATGCACCACCACACCCGGCAAATTTTTGTAGAGATGGGGTTTCACTGTACATGTTTTTAATTGCAATTTGTAGGTCTGAATTTCATTTGTTTAATGTAGTCCACCCTCTCTGGGTTTTGACTTTTAAGGATCGTGCAACATTAACATGTGGAAAACTTCCAAATGACTTGTATTTGACTTTGGAATGCCTGGAGTTTAATATTTTGGATATTAACAATACTTTTAGCAAAACAAAAATACCAAAGTGAGGACTGTATTTCTCTTCCACTCTGATAAAGAGGTCACTTAGAATAAAAGGGAAAGTGCTAAAGTGTATATCTACACTGCCCAATTTGCTAGTCATTGGCCTTATGTGTCTATTGAGCACTGAAAGTGTGCCTAGTTCAAATTGAAATGTGCTGTAAGTGTAAAATACACACCAGATTTTGAAGACATAGCTTGCAAAAAGTATAAACTGATTAAAAATGTTATTGATTACATATTGAAGTACAATAATGTGGATGTATTCATCAAAATAAAATGTATCATTAAAATTAATATTACATGTGGCTATTAGAAAATTTTAAATGACATACATGGTTTGCATCTGTGGCTGGCATCATATTTCTATTGGACAGTGCTGGTCTATATTATCCCAAACTCTACTCCTCTATGTGTATATTCCATGATGTATTCTAGTTTCCATGCATTTTCCAGTTCAGGGAATGCTCAATTATGTATTATACACACAATATACACCGTACTTTTCTCTCTAAGATATATTCCAGTTTGCCATGTATTTCCGAGCTCTGGAAATGTCAAGTTACATATTACCTCTGTATCTCTATGGTCCAAGATACATCAACATCTGATACTTTCCCTGGCAAGTGTGAAAGTGGCTTCTAAACTCTGAAGAAGAATTTTGCTAAGACTATAGGTAAACAAAATAATGCAACCAAGGCATGCTGCTATATGTAGTTAGTTAATATTTTAACTATGTGGAAATTTAAGCTGGTTTTTATTTATTCCTCCCTTCACTTATTCATTTATTCCATAGATATGCCTGTTCATTTATTCCATAGACATTAATGAGGGCTGTCTGTAAAAGGTGGCTTCTATGTTAGCTCCAGACCACAGAGACTGGAGACTTCCAAAAAATGCAAGGCATACTGTCCAGTTGTTGAAAAGGTCTTGATATAAATTACTTATGATTGCAATCACTCTCAGCACATGGCTTTGGGCATTCATTTGTGTATTCATTAAAATATAGGAACTACCTGATATTTTTATGTATCTGTATACAACCCAGGAGACATCTCACATCTTAAAGAAGGAAACAGGCCCTGGATTTTATTTTTCCATAAAAGGAAATGTTCCCTAGGCTTTAGTGCAACAGAAAAACTGCCTGCAATATTTTTGGCTCTGTTAAGGGTTATATAATATTTTAAAATGATTGCTGCTGTCCATTTTAATATATTGTGTTGGAGACCTTTGTACCTTTGAGGTTTGTCATCGTAAACAATACATCTAATAAATAAGCTGAGGCAGTCATAAATACAGATGATCTCTCATACCTCACCTGGTTTCTTTGCTGAATTGGATTTCTACCTATTTTCTCATATCTGCATTTTCTCTCTCTGTTGAATATAAATATTTTTTGAGTGTTATTTTGAAAAGATGTATTAAAAACCATCAAGTATGATGAAGTGAGTGGATATAAAAAGTCCACGTACCTAAATTTACTATTGAGAGACAGTAAATTATTTTCTTTTAAAGGTCTGTTGTCAGAAAAATTTTAGGCTACAGTCCAAAGTAATCAAAGCCCAAATCATAGTTAACACTAGACATTAAAACAAGTTACTATTGCCTAAAAATATACGATACTTTCTTTGTATATAGGAATAGATCCATCACAGAAGGACTTCCAATCTCCTTGTGGGCAACAACTCTAAATACGCGCACCCCAGCCTCAGTGGAGGTCAAAGAAACTGCTTCAAGGCTAGAACTACCCAGATAAGACACTCAGTTTTAGTGGCAAAAACATATAATCAGTATGAATTCTTCCTTAACATTTGGGCATGTAAACATCAGATTGTACTTTTTCTAAATAAAATTAAATATGATACAGGCCTCATTCTCCTGCCCTTTGGAATTTCTCAGGCGAAGTTGTTTTTTATTTTTATTTTTTGAGTAGTGAGGTCCTCTGCCCGGTTCTTAAAAATACTCTAGGGCCTCTTGAATTCATTAGGGTATAAGCTAGACTAAAGTGATAGAGATCCATAAATTCAGAGGTTTGTACAAGTTAGAAAGGTTTCTTTCTCACATTAACTGCTGAGTAAGTGACCAAGGGTGACTAGGTCATGAGGGCAGAACCCTCATGAATGGATTTAGTGCCCTTCTGAAAGAGGCCTGGAGAGGCTGTTTGCCCATTCTGCTATGCGAGAACATTGCAAGAGGTTGCCATCTATGAGAAACAGGCCCTCATCAGACACTGAATCTGCTGGCACCTTAATCTTGAACTTCTCAGCATGAGCAATGAATTCTGTTGTTTATATATTATCTAGTTGAAGGTATTTCATCATTGCAGTCTGAATGGACTAAGACATGGTCCATCTGAAACAGGCTACTCGACCTCTTTTTATTGATTTAATGGGCATTGATCTATCTGTGTAGCCAGCTTTGTCAACTCCTGGAAACAATATGGCAATAGGGTTCTAGGCTCTGCCATTTGGAAACCTCCTGCCCTCATGTCTTTCAGTTTGCTGAAAACAATTATTTCCTGGGTTTGTGCCACTTTCTTATTCTTAAATCCTTCAAATTCCAGTCTTTGTACCCACTAATTCTGAGACGATTTGATTCTATTCTTCATAGGCCCCTGAACTCTCCAAGGATATAAGTAAAAATTTTTTTTGAGAATAATAAAAACAAAATGAATTTTAACTCTCCCTAGGATTAATAAAATTATAGTTATTAAACTGGATGTCACAAACTGGCAGCTGTGGACAGACTAAGCCCATTAATGTCTTTCTTTTGTTTATTCTACATTTTATTGTTGTTATTAAACTGAATTGCTTTACCAACATCTTTTAAATGTCCATATTTGTGGCTTCTCATGGAAATCTGGAAGATATGGAATGTGGAAACTGTGGGCTTGTATTCCCCTAGGCGTGGAGCTGAATAGCAGCTGTCTTATTGTGAAAGACCACGCCACATCACCATTCACAAACACCTGACCTGCATCACTCAATTATATTACCTGCCTAGCCCAAGGAGGCATTTTCTTTGAGATGCCGCTTAGAGCAAAGAGAGCTGGCTCTTGTGCAAGGGAGAGGGAAAAATAATTAATTTTTGTCTTCTTTTGAGTGTCTACAAAGCAAAAATTATTAGGTACCCCACAAGCTCCCCTGAAAAACTGAATTTAACAATATTTTGCTATTAATAATATTGTGCGAGTATATAAGAAATGTTAGTATATGAAAAGCAAAAGAACAGCACAGTGATCCAACTATGGTGACAGCCTACATCTTGCAGTAAAAAAACCCACTACTACAAAGACTGAAATAAACAGATTATAAAAGATACCAATTTATTTTCACTTGGCTGAAAAATCAAAGACCTTCAAGTAGAAATTCTAGGAGAATGCTAATTTTAATAATAAGAAAACATAGGAAGAAGTTATTTTCACTTTTCCCCTAATCATAATTCTAAAGGAAATTCTGCAATGGTTTACTACTTGTTTCTCTTATGCTGAATCCCAGTGAGCTCTTCTAAATTGTGTATTGGTTCATATCCTATCTATTATTTCAATTCTCTGTGATTTTCTTATTATATAAGACAATGATAAATACATATTGAATAATCAGTCCTTTGCAGTATTCATTAAAAAAGTTATTTTAACATATATGCCAGGCACTTTGCTTGGTTCTGGAAATTCAAGGATAAATAAGACAAACCGTTCTGAGGTTGCATATATGGATAAGCCGGTAACACCCACAAAACATCTTGTAAATTATCATACTATGGGATGTTTAATTCTATATGTTCTGTCAACTGGGTATTAATAACCTAATTAATAACCTTTTCATCAATGATGCCAAAAATAAAGAACAAACAATTTAAAATAATTTAAGCTGGTTCTGTAGAATTAACCTTCTAGCAATGGTAAGCTTTGAGATAGAAAATGCCCTCATAATACAACAAATCATGGAAAAATTGGGTCAGAGCATTCATACATTACAGAGGAGAATTTAAGGTGAAGCTTAGGCTTTTGAGTGCTGGGAGTGTTCAGAGTTATAGAATGTTCTAGATGAGAAAGTGGAGTCAGGATGCCAATAGGAAGAATTTCTATGTAATCATTTTTGATAAATTGCCTTAAATATTTTAGAATATAAGGATCTGAGTCTTCAAGCTTCCATAATTATTGTTCTTTGTTTTCTCATTCTAAATGAATATTAAATTTTACCTTAATTTTGCATTTATAATTGTGTATCATTCTTCCTAAAGACCCTTTTCCTCCCCTTATTATATTGACTTCAGGTCCCACAAAACCTGGATCTGCCTGTTGTGTGGACATCATAGTGAGGTAGAATTGATAGAAATAACTTGAGTATGAGGCATTTTTGAACACTTTAATGAATAACCAGAAGAGATACTGTTTTAAAATTGCAAACAGAATGGCAGCATACATGTTTATCTGGGATCTCTTTTCTTTTCCAGTTGTCTGCTTAAGTGACTTAGGCTGCTTTAGTGGCAGACCTGAAGTTGTGTATAAATTCCTTAGTATCCTGAAAAAGAAGGAATTCATGTGGGGCCAAGTTGATGAAGGTCCATGAGCTCTGTTGGAGGCTTTCCTTTCCAGCAGACTCTGAGGCAAAGACCACCATCCTTCTAGAGAAAGTTCCTAGCCAACCAGGCACTTAATTCACTTCTGTGCTTAGAACAGAATTATCACTCAGATGTCATCATCCCTGTGGAAAAGCTAATGATCCCAGAGATGCTGGCAGCCTCAGAGGGTATTTCATTGTTGGGTTAAATTGAGCCCATTTCCTGGGGTTAGACGAAGACCTCTCCCACCTTCCCCTCACAATCAGAGTAACCTTTTCACCTTGAGACCCCAGTTTGTCTACTTGTCTTTCTACCGGAAAAGAAACTTTCATTTTTACTTCATTACTAAAAATTCCTTTCTGGATTTGCACATCTGAATAGATGCTGAGGTAACCACGTGCCCTGACACCAGGAGGCAAAGTAGTGACACTGTTTTTTTAAGGGGCTCAGTAACTTGATGGAGGAAGACCAAGCACAATATCAGATTGGACGGCTGCTACTAGAACAGAATTAATTAAGGTAACAGAAGTGCATTATGCTAAAATAATGAAGATATTAAAGGAGATAAGATTGCTGAAAGAAAACAAAAATAACTTTCTGGAATAAAAAAAAAATAGAATGCCTTCACTTGGTTTCCAGAAAACCATATTCACTTTGCAATGGACCAAATGTTAATGTTACACCAAAGCTCATTCGCTGAAATCCTCCTAACCTTCAATGTCATGATGTTAGGAAGTGCGAATTTTGGGAGGTTATTAGGTCATGAGGGTGGATCCCTGAGGAATGGGATTTGTGTCCTTATAAAGGGGACCCCAGAGAGGGCCCTCACCCTTTTTCCACTATGTGAGGATACAATAGGAAAACAGCTGTCTGTAGGAAGAGGATCCTCACCAGAATGCCTCGACCATGCTGGCATCTTGATCAAGGGCTTCCAGCCTCTAGAAAAGCAAGAAATGTATTTCCATTGTTTACAGGCAACCCAATCTACGGTATTTTTGTTGCAGCAGCTCAAATGGACTAAGACACTTTTGTTTATCCCTCTGTCTTTTCTCAGTCTCTTCTGATGGATTACTTTCTTCTTCCAGAGCTCAAACCTTTGTCATCGTCATTATCGAAAGTAACCTCCATATGCAACTCTTTATGCCAGCTATGCCCAAATTAATATCCCAACTGAAATCTCTCTCCTGAATTCCAGGCTTATGCATCTGAGGTAGGCAGAAGAGTGTCCCCCAACTCCCCAAGTGATGTCCCTACCCTAATCTGTGGAACTTGTGAATATGTTACCTGATATGGCAAAAGGGGCTTTGCAGATGTGATTAAGGTTGAAGGTCTTGAAATCATCAGATTATCCTGCATTTTGTAGGTAAACCCAATCTAATCACATGAGTCCTGAAGCCTGGAAGTGGAAGAGAGAGGAAGTGGGTCAGAGAGAGGACAGGAAAGAAGGCAGGAGAGATGCGAAGCATGGAAAGGATTCTTTTATTCCTGGCTGGAAGTTGGAGAAGGAGGGTAACAAACCCAGGAATGTGGCTGACCTGTTGAAGTTGGGAATGGCCCTTTGCAGACAGCCTGCAAGCAGACAGGAATCTCAGTCCTACAAGTGCAAAAAGTGAATTCTGCCAACAACTTGAATTAGCAGGAAATTGATTCTCTCCTAAGGCCTCCAGAAAGCAATGCAGCCCTGCCCACAGCTGGAGATTGGCCTGGTAAGATCCATGTTGGACTTCTAACCTACAGAACTATAAGACAATAAATTTGTGTTGTTTTAAACCATTAAGTTAGTGGTAATTTGTTACAGCAGCAATAGAGAACTAATACAATACCCAACTGCCAACTTGACATCTCCATTTAGATATTCAATAGACATTTTAAACTTAGCACATCTAAAATTGAAGTCTTGGCTGGGTGTGGTGGCTCACACCTGTGATCCCAGCAATTTGGGAGGCCAAGGTGGGAGGACCACTTGAGCCCAGGAATTCAAAGTCAGACTGGGTAACATAATGAGACCCCCATCTCAAAAACAAAAACTGGTTAACATAGTAAAATTGAAGTCTTGTTCTTCCCCAAAACACCTGTTCCACCTATGGACTTGCATATCTCAGTTAATGACAATTTTGTTTTTCTGATTGCTCAGGCCAGAAGCCAGGGAGTCATGCTTGATTCCTCTTTCTCTCACACAATCCATAGTCAGTCTGCTAGGGAATTGTATGTGTTCCGTCTTAGAATATGTCCATGCCTCACCTTCCCCAGTATCACTACTCTGGTGCCAGCTGTCATTATCTTTCACCTAAACTACTGCAAAATCCTCCCTATGGGTCTTCCTCTTTAATACTTGACCCTGAGAGCCTGTTTTCAACAGAGTAGAGAGTGAGCCTGTTAAAACATGTCACATCATATGACTCCTGTGCTCAAAATCCTGCAACAGCATTTCACTGAGAATAGAAGCCACTAGAGGGGACACAGGGCCCTAAGTTATCCACTCCAGCCTCCCCGTGCTATTTCTTTTTTTGTTTTCTGACTTCATCTCCTGTTGATGCTTTCCATTACTCACTCTTCTCCAGCCACATTGGTACCCAAATTAGACACTTTCCCACCTTATGGTCAAGGTCAGTTCACTTGTTCTCTCAATCAAGGAAGCTCTCCTCCAAGGTATCACTGTGGGAACTGCCTGACTTCCTTCACATCGTTACTCAAGTCTCAATCTCCCAGTGAGGCCTACTCTGCCAATTTAATACAACCTTCTGCCTTCCTGCATTTTTTAAAGTCTCTCTTTCCTTACTTTTATTTTTTCTTCTCTTCCTTAGCACTTACCACTTACTAATATGTTAAATAATAAACTTAATTTTATGTTTATTGTTGATATCTGTCTTTCCCCACTAAATTATAAGCTTTGCATAGGTAGGAATAGTTACCTGTTTTATTTATTGATATGTCCTAAGACCCTTGATTAGTGCCAGGAACACTAGAGATGTGCAGTAGCTATTTGTTGAATAAATATGCAATTAAAAAAAAGTAGAGGAAATGAAAACAAAAAGAAAATGGACCTTGCTGAACTGAATTAATAATCTAGAAGATCGGATTGATGTACACCCTCACAACATACAGCAAAGAATACTAAGAAATGGGAACCATAATTTAAAAGATAAGAGATAAGGTAGCTAGATTCAGGAGTTTAATATGCAAATAATAGTAAGTTTAAAAGGAGAAAGAGGAACAGATGGAGGGGAAGCAACAACAGGAAGAAAAAAAATCCTGAGCTGAAAAAGTCTTGCATTTTTAGATCAAACTAGCAAGAACCTTTTATCTTTTGAGAGAATTTGACAGACCAAATAGCCAAAGAATAAGTAAATATGTAAAGAATTTGAGTACTAAAATTAAAAGACTAATTATCTATAGCCATGTCTATTTCTATATCCTACAAACAGAGAATACATGGTCTTTCTTTTCTTTTGGCTTTGAGACACTTACAAACATTACTCACACTTGAGAACTAATAGAAGAGTTGATTAAATTGTTGGTGGATTTGGATATGGTGGAGGATGTGGGGACAGACATAGGAGTCTTATTCCACTTGGCTTGGCTCTGGCACTTTTGCTTATTTGTTACATAAATGTTGTCAAATTACTCAACCTCTCTAAGCCTTGGTTTACTGTAAAAGTGGGAGAAAACCTGGTTGACAGAACTCCTGTATGTGAAAATGAGTAAATGCTTTTACAAGACCTAACACAGTGCCTGGCATGCTTTTGGAAGTCGGCAAAGAGTAATTATTGTTATTAGTAACTGGGAGTTGTGATAGTAGGGAACTTAGATAATGTGTTAGCAGACCAAATTGAGACGCTTTCTTCCCTGTTATTGAGATAACTTTGAAAACAATTTCTACAGAGTTCTCAATGGAAGGCAGCAAGGAAAGTAGGTAAACAAGACCTACAGCAAAATAATTGAACTCTTAAAATTGGCAAATAACCATCATTGATGAGACATATTTTAAAATAGGCACTCTTGCATAGCATGCATTTCAAAATTATCAGTGACAATTTAGAATGTTTTATAATGTATTAATTCCACATTATGGTCACAGTAGCGGAATTGAAAGATTTGATATTCTTTTCTAATAATTTACTAACGGTCTCTCAGGAAATGATTTGAGTAATGGAAAAATTCAGGTTGAAACTGCTTTTAAGGGCATTAAGTATCCTTTAGTAAAAGCAGTTAAAGTTATACTAAATAGTTTCATAATTATTTAATGGCTCTAGTCTGCTTTTTTAAAATGGAAGTGGTTTAGTGTAACTTCCTGAAGTGAATTCCTGGTTATTAGCCCAAAGACAAAAGGTAAGATATCTGCACAAGTTAGAAAATTTCAGGGAGATTGTGGCATCACAGACTCATTTTCTTCATTCTCCTAAGTACTGAATCATCCACCCACAGTCTGCTAGTGTTGAGGAATGCAGGAAAAGCAGGGCAGTGTTGGGATTGCTTTGCTCCTTTTGATAGCCCCAGCACCAAGCACCGAAGGGAGCACATTGTGGGCATTTGTGAAACACTTGCTAATGGAAAGAATCATGAAAGAATGAAGAATAGATAAATCTTAATGGCACAGAGCCTAAGGTCATGTCAGTAAACCCCTTCTCCAACCCTGCTTCCTTTCCTATCAGACAGTGATTGAATTTCCAGACCTTAATGTCAACTGTTTATCAGCTGGGCTTCTGAAACCTGTTTAATGGCTTCTGTGATGCAGTTTCTTCCTGTTCCGGATTGTTTGAGCTCCATATATAGGAGGTACCATCATCATTTCAGAGACATCAGTATAATAAGCCCAACGGGAGAATGATATGGCAATTTCTAAATTTCCTAGAAGGATCGCTCAGGAGGATGGGCTTGAGCAGGCTGCCTTCCATGTCACACCACCACTGGGCACATTTTGTTTTTTGGCAACTGCCCCAACAGGGTAAGTAAACTAAAATTCCCCAAAGAAAACTTACTGATGAAAGCCATTCAGAGTTTCATAGTATTGCTAAGAAATGTTCTTTTTTAATCTTAAGGCGGAAAAAGAAAATATCTGAGTGAATATCCAATTTTACGTATTTGTTTATATAAAATAGTATCCAGCAATGTAAACTGCTTTGTTTAGGTATGTGTAAGAATGGGATCCTTGAGGAATTATGAAGCAGTTTTGTAAATTATCAGGCAAGTCTGCTGTTATTGGAGACAGTTCCTCCTCTGACCAGCTTGGCTTAATCTGGATCCCACAAGGCAGCAGTCTTTCCTAAGCTTCACCTATTCTGATTTGCCAAATGCTTTTCTTAATCATCTGGTGCTACCAGATGTCAGAATTCCCTGCTGCTATCTCTAGTATTGGTAGTCTCTCACTTGTGGTAAATATAGCTCATGTTGATTCAGTTGGCTTGTGTTCTGAACAGCTGGATGGGTATCAGGGGGCTTGGGAAAGAGGCTGAACTCGTCCTGAAGAGTCCTGAGAGACTTGGTCACAGCTGAAAGATTGAGTGCCTGAAAGAGCCCAAATAACCACAAAGCTTGTATCTTACATAAAATTTCCCTATAAAATGGAATCCTTCCGCCCCCATTTCTAGGTAAGCTTTATCTGTGCTTGCAACGTGATATGGAAGGCTGACACTTACCCTCTGTGTCCCTTCATTATAAATTACCACTATGGAAATATTCATCACAACCCTTTTTCTTCTTAACAAGATTTGCCTGGGTCATCTGCTCCTCTGGTGATCTCACTGCGTGGTTCTTGGATGCCCTCATTAGTATCGCTTGAGTTGCCTGTGACAAATATAGATTCCAGGGCTTTTCTCAGATTATTAGAATCAGAATCCAAAATTTTAAAGTAGCTCTCATTAATTGAGCACTAACTTGTGCCAGGCTATGTTCTGTGTACTATTATACGTAATATGCTATTATGTAATGTATAACACATGACTATATTGTTATATCTGGTGTCTTCTGAGTTACTGAGAAACCAAAGACACAGCTCCCCAAAGTGAGAGATGCCTGTCGCCCATCCTACAAAGCTAGGCTGTCCAATGGGACATGTGTTTAGAATCCAAGTTCTGAGAACCTACATTTTAAACAAGCTTCCTGGATATTTTTATGTACACTAAATCTGAGAACTACATGCATAAATTCAGCTCCAGGAAGTTAGGATTCAGGTCTATTTTGTTCCCTGTGGTATATTCAGCACATAACAAAATATCTGGCAGGCAATAGTGTTTTATTTTATTTTTAAAATAAAACGTACAACTAATTCTCAAATATTCCTTCCTTTTTATTTTGAGGATCCTTCTAAATGGTGGAAAGACAAATATACTACATTCTGTAAAGTAAAAGACAGATAATCTTGTTTTTAGATGTATTTTCAACTTTTGTAAAATGGCTCCTGTGAGTAGATTATCTTGCTTGCCAAGAGCCTATTTTTACAAGTGTTTTTCAATTTACATCACTGGGTAACTCTACAAGCATCATAGCTTTGCTGAAGTAACGTTAGAAATGAAGCAAACAATAGGGTTGGGTGTCTTCTGAGTTACTGAGAAACCAAAGACACAGCTCCCCGAAGTGAGAGATGCCTGCCCCCCAACCTGCAAAGCTAGGCTGTCCAATGGGGCGTGTGTCTAGTACATAATTCTCCTGGAAGAATTAGCAGAGCGAGTTGAGACTTTCAATTCAGCACCTATAGAATTCAATAGCTCATGAAGGACTGTGTTTTCTAGAAAAAAAAAATGGGATGGGGAACAGGGTAGAGGAATTTACTCTCAAGAAGAAATGCTTTTGACATGTTTTTCTAACCTCCATCAGCTGACCTTTTCCAAGAAAAGAAATACATTTAATTTGATTTCCAGATTTGTGATCTACACAACTTATTTATAGTTACTTCGTCCTCCAGGCCTGAAGAATTTAGAATATAATAGAAGTGGCAATGTTAAAATCCCAAAATCAAGCCTTAATAAACATAGAAGCTTGTGGGCATTCCTGGCTAGAGATTAATTTGGCACTATTTCAAACTAATATTCTTGAAAATTTTAAAGTATCTGTCATTAATTGAGCACTACTTGTGCCAGGCTGTGTTCTGTGTACTATTATACGTAATATACTATTATATGTAACTTACTACTATATCATAACATTCTATTATTTGTACTATTATATGTACTGTTCTATGTACTGCATGAGTACATTTAACCTTCTCAACATTTCTATTCATAATGTACAGTTATTTTCAGATAAGGAAATAAAAGCAATGAGAAGTTAAATTGTCCAGCACCCTCCTCCTCCTATGTGGTCATGTGACCCCCAGAGATTCCAACTCAGGCACTCTTAGTTCTGCTACTCTAGTGAAGGGCAGGGAACGAGTCTCCTGGGAGGTAGTTCTAATGCCTGTGCTCCTGGGAACCTAACTGAAGCCCTGCCACTGCTCATTTGTCTCCCCTTTCTAAAATCATCTATTACTCCAGCCTGCTTTTTTTTTCTTAGTGGGTGAACAGGGTTTCTCTACCAATTTCCCCCAGGGGCTTGTTACATATTCCTTTTATTATACTTACTATTCTCTGAGGTGACTTCTGGTAAATTCAACTTTCTTCATTCCCTAATATTGCCAGTGAAGCTTTCACAAACCGTATAGTATAGTATTCTGTGCTGGGTTAAAAAGCTGCCCCCCCCCCAAAAAAAAAAAAAAAAGCATTTAAACCTAACTGCCCTTAAAGTCAAGGCAAGCTTGAGACATTTTGATGCAAGACCCTATTCCTAATGGTCACAAGGAATACTGAATGAACGCTGGCAAATGAGAGGACGGGAGAATTGTTTTGGGTTGATATGGATGCAGAACGGTAATGTGGTTGGTTTGTGTTTTTTTCCTAATTAGCCTACTTAGTGAGGGATTCATATTAGACAGTCCTGAACAATCGATATCCTTAGAAGATACACCAAAGAGGATATAGCCCTGCAGGGAAGGCTTCCACTGTCCTTTCTGCATGCAAATGCAAGATTCTGAGGCCTAGCGATTTCAAAATGGGCAACTGACAAACAGACTTTATACTTGTAGTATAATAGACTTGAAGAAACCTCCATTGACTCCAATTTTAAAGATGATTTTCATTGCTGATGTACATGTTTCTGGCATTTCCCACCCTCTCTGAGATAAGTCTGAAAAATAGGAAAGAAGGAAGTTTGGTTTTCTATGAAAACACAGTTCCACATAAACTACAGAACTTTTTTGAAGTGCCAAATGCACACTTAGCCTGAATCTAGTAATTTGATTCTCCTGGCCAAATCTACTTGCCATAAATATTCTCATAACAATAGCCAGCCAAGTGTGTTTGAAAAGTAGCAGTTATCTCTGGTTTGAGTGCTGTGTCTTTAGGTTCTTGGGAACTGTAGGTAATATCCAACAGTAATGTACTTGTAACTGTATCCAGTATCATTACTGAAATTTAAATTTACTTTATGCTAAGAATTGATTTTTAAATATCCCTCATCATAAGGACTGGTTGTAGAGACACTAGAGAATCATGATGTTGACTGCTTTAACCAATACTGAGCACCCACTGTATACTAAGCTTTGTATAATTTTTGGTGCTACCGTACTAGCTTGAGTTAAATATGGTCTAGACTCAGTTCCTAAGGAGTTCATGGAAATGGATGTGTAAATGAAATGGTTTCAGGAAAGATCAAGGAAAGCTTCACAGAGAAAGTAGCACTTCCACAGGGTTTCAAAAAGTAAGTTTGCATTCTCCAGGTAGATCTAAGGAAGAAAGAGGAGGAATAAAAGCACTTGAGTGCCAATCACAGTAATGTGAGTGGGGGAGGCCTATGAGGCTAAGGTCAATGGGATTTGTGATAGATGCTGGGAGGAAAATCTAGAAAGGGAATTTGAAGGGTCTTGAATGCCATATGAATGAGTTCAGATTTTGCCTGTAGGCAATCGAGAAACACTGAAAGGCTTTAATCAGTGTAGTGACATACTTACATTAAGGTTTTAGAAAGATTACTCTAGTGGCAGTAGAAGCAGAAATTGTGGTGGTCATGCTGAAGACTGAGTGAGTGCTTAAAGGATTATAATTATACTTATAAATGATATAATCATAATAAAATGGTTTACATGAGAGATAATATTAAACAGAAGAAAATTTTAGTAATAAAGATGGAAAGGACAAAAGACATTTGAGACATTTGACTCCAGTTTCTTAAATTAGTGGATGTTCAAGTTTTTTTCAAGCATTTTAATCTTCTAACCCTCTAAGAAGACTTATCTGAAATACTTATATATTAAATGAATAAGTTGTATTTTGTTAATAAATGTAATATGGAAATTCAAACATGTATTTACTTATATAAACTCAATTACTAAAATCAATGTAGCTGATTTACTACAGACAAATTTGCTAATAAATTCTATGATTATAGATGAGAATTACTGAACTTTATCCGTATTAACATATAATTTATTGAATATATTTTAACTTGCATATACAGGATTCTTAAAAATAAGTAGTTACAAAGGGGTAAATGATCATTGCTTTACAAAAATTAGGTAACTTTGAAACATTAGATACCTCCAATTACATTGGTTTGGAAGCTTGAAGGACCAGTATTTGAAATGCTTGTGTCAAAAATGTATCATTAATAATATTGAAAAATGCTTGAACTCTCTATAATAAATGTGAAAGTCTGAAATGGAGTGCTTAAAATATAAAAATATTAATTTATCTATGATATTATATTCTTGCTGTGTGATGTATTATGCATTCACTTGTTATCGCACAACTGATTTTGGGCTAGGAGTAGTACATTCCCTGAAGGAGTGCTCCTAAGTCTTGCCAGCATTTGTTTGAGAGTAGCACACATAAGCTTTAGTAATAATCTTTCTTGCACATTTCTATGTGAACAGACATGGGCAAGTCTGATTTCCAAGAACGGCTAATGTAGAATGATTCTCTTCCTAATCAATGGTCATTTGTCTGGGGTGAGTTCTAGAATTGGTATTTTTAAAGAGTGCCCTACATGAGTCTTTCATGAGGCCAGTATTGGAAAGCCCAGTTCTTTCTGGCCAGCCTTATTTTGGGTGCCAGAGAGACATATGCAGTGGGAGAGAAAAATAAAGGCTAATTCTATATGTTGCCTAAGTGCTAAGAAAAACAAAACAAAAAATGGGACAGCATATAAAATACTATGCTGGCTTGATACATGAGTAATTAAATCTGATGTTGGTATTATTCTGATAAAGTTACAGTGATTATAATTTTGGAGAAGGAGGGAGAGGCTTTCAGTGGATTCCTGAAAGTGATGATGGTTGAGCTGGGAGTAGGTTTCTCTCAGTGGAGAGGAAATAGTATGAATAAAAGTACGACATTTTGAGATGTAGGTAGTCATCCTCTGGTTTTGATACTGGGCAAAGATGCTTAGGCACTTCAGAGGTTTTCTGGCCCATCTTTCTAATCCTGAGCATAACTTCCCAGAATGGATCTATGGTGTCTCTCATGGCACCCCGTGTATACTGGGAGGCCTAGGTTTTCTCAGTAACTTCCTTATAATTATAAAGAGCATTAACTCTTTAAGATAATGCATGAGTAGATATAATTTCATAAATGGAATTGGTAGAGCTTGAAAAGTTAATGCACTTTCCCAAGTTAGCATCTTAGTTACTTTTCAAAAGCAGGACAAAAACCATTGCTTGTCAGAGTAAGATATAAAGCAAAGAACTCTTTTTCCCCATGAGGTCTAATAGAGCAAATCACCTACAAGGAAGACATTATTTTTTGCCTGAATGGTAGGAGCGTGTGGTGAGTCATGAATCAATAAAAACATTACCATAAGCTATTTAGTGATTCATCTCTTTCTTATTTCTAAAATAGGCTTCAAACAGAAGAACATTTTACTTATATCCTCAGATTGTGCTCTGAGATGCGCTTATAAAATTCTAGGGTCAAACTCTACATTTGACTGCTAGAATAAAATTCCCATTGATGCAAAACTTCAGGAAATTTGTGGTTTGCAGAAGAAAGGTAATAATACTCGTTTCTCTGCTTCCATTTGAGAAAGTTTTTAGATTTTCTTTCCTCTGTAATTAAGTGAAATTGGATCTTACTTTTCATACTTTACTATTTTTGAAAAGCAGATTGCTAAATGTGGCAAACTGTATTTTCCAAAAATGGCCAAAGCAATATTCCCAGGACAAAGTGTTCTAGAACTTTACCATTCCTCTGTCAAGAAGAAGAGTCTATTTCCTTTCCCATTGACACTAGGAAGGCCTTGTGACCACGTAGATTAAAAGAATGTGTATGAGTGACACAGTGTGTCTGTTTCTCTACTCTTCTCTCTTGACCTTGGGTGGACCTTTTTGACCACCCCTGTGAATAAAATGCAGTGAAAGTAATGCTTGTGAGGTTCAGGCAGAAAAAGTCGTACAGCGTCTGCGTGGTTCTCTCACTCTTGGGAAGCTTGCCCTTAGAATTCAGCCACCATGTTGTGAGGAAGCAGAGGCCACATGGAGGGCCCACATGTATATGTTCTGGTTGACAAGCCAGCTATTGTCCTGGCTAACAGCTAATACTGACTGTCAAACATGGAAGTGAGCAAATCATCTGATGTTTCCAGATCCTTGCATTTGAGCCATTCTAGTTGAGGCCAAGATATCACTACCTAATCCTGCTTAAACTGCAGATTTGGGAATAAAATAAGTCTTTTTACTTTAAGCCACTAAGCTTTATGGTGGTTTTCTACACAGCAATAGATAATTGGAACGCTAAACAATAGCAATGAATAAGCAGAATTTTTTTTCATTTCAAGATGTTTCTCAAGATTTAAACAATGCGACTTTAAATAAATTAAAAGATGTATTAATCAATACGTCTATTGTAAAGTAGCAGAAAGAAGATTCAACAATTACTCTGGAACAGAAGCAGAGGAATCCGTTTCAGAATTAGCTCCTATTTTCAACCTCCCATCCCTCTCCATCTCCTAAGTTGATACAGAACTATATGCCTGACATTTAATAGTCAATTGATTTAGGGAAAAATAGGGCTCAGAATTTAGTTAAGGATAGCCAAACTTGTACCTGACTGATTTTCCCCAAGCATTCTGTTTATTGATATGTAATAAATACAAGTCACAAGAAATGGTGCAAGTTCTCTTCATAAGATCCTCTTTCTTCTCATTGTGAACAGATATGCTGCAGAAACCCAATGAACAACCTTTCCAGTGCATTTCTCCCCAGTGTAGAGCAGGCCTTCTTAATCTGTTCAGCCTGCTAATAACAAAATACCATATGCTGGGTAACTTATAAACAACAGAAATTTATTTCTCATACTTCTGGAGGCTGTGAAATCCAAAATCAAGATGCCAGCAGATTCAGTGGCTGGCGAGGGCCTGCTCCTTATAGATGGTCCCTTCTAGCTATGTCCTCACATGGTGGAAGGGTAAAGAAGCTCCCTTGGGCTCTTTTATAAGGGCACTAATCTCGTTCATAAGGGCTCCATCTCATGACCTCATCACCACCCAACGATCCTACCTCTTAATACTATTGCACTGGGGATGAAGTTTTAACAGGAATTTTGTGAGACCACAAACATTCAGACCATAGCACTCACCCATACCCCAGCCTTTTTGCCATCCCTTCCTGCAGCTAATCTTAAGTTATCACTCTCTCAGTTCTTTTTTTAGAGTTGCTAGTGCTAATGAGGGATATCTTAGCTACAGTGACACTAAATCACTCTGCACTAATTTCAGATGAATATTCACTGTTACTCAGCAAGCCTTTTAAAAATTCAGTCCCTGATGACTTCTTTTTGAATTGCTAATAATTTAGAAGTTAGTTGTTCCAGACTTTTCAAAATCCCCTGATCATACTGTGAACTTCTAAGAGATGATCTAAATCCTTTTACATGAAGTTAGAGGCTTTTAGGATTCACTTTCCTTCTACTGTGACTCAATATCTCTACATAACAATAGCTTTGCCCCTACACCCTTAACTACAGCTTGGAACATCTGTCTCCACTGATGTTTATTTTCTTCCAATGCAGAAAGGTAGAAAGAATATCACCTTTGACCTCCTGCCGTTTCACCATCCAAATCTTACATCTGTATCCCTCCGCCTGAACAGGGTCTCCTTGGGGCAGGGCACTGTTACTCAGCACTGGTCTTGCTGTGTCTAAAACACACGCACACACACACACACGCACACACTGAAAGAGACTCCGAGAAAAAGGAAAAAAAAGGAAATGTTCTCCAAAGACATTGTGGATAATAATGTGGATTTTAGATTTTGTGGAAGGTGTCACAGAGATACAGAAATATGTACACTTCACACTTAACTCAGAACATTTTCCTAAAGATCATCTTTAAATATATTTCTCTTTTCTCCAGGTGGCCACTGTTACCCCTTCACCATTTCTTTTTGTCTCTATCACTGTTCCCTTTAGCCCTCTACTTTTTCCCCCTCTTTTGGCTGCTCTAGCTCTTTTGTGGCACTCCCAGAAATTCTTTCCAGTATTTTCCTTGCAGAAAATAATTTAATCTCTCTTTGTTCTCCTATTTGTATTTCCATCCACTATCCAGCTTAACACAACAAAATCTTGTCCTTGAAATCCAGCATTCCTGAAAGATGAAAGGAGGAAGGGTGGACACATGTTATTCAGTATGTTCTGATTCCATGCATCGTTTCAGTCTTATATTGTCCCCTCAAGGTGCGTGCCCCTTTGTCTTTCTCTTCCCTTTCACTTTTAGATCCAGCTTTCCTGCAGAAAGTCTGATTTCTCTGCTCCTACATATTACAAACCTGCAGGGTCAGGCCTGTGATTGTCCAGAGTTGCCTATTACTGGCTGGACACATTTGTCGAATTCAGAAATAAAACAGAAGAGGCCTGTTGTGGTTGTAAGTCGCCTGCTTCCCAACCATGTATTTATTATAATAAAGTTGATATTTTAATATCTATCCTTCTGATCTTGGTGGAATTTGAATCCAGGAGTGGAAAAGAAGGGTGTTATTTTGTGGGCTTTCTAAATTTGAAAGTTAAAAATTATGCAAGGCACTAAAGTTTTCATTTCAAAGCAACTAAACACTATGTAAAAAAGAAAGTATGCTATTATACCTAGATGTTTATTTCTTTCCTGTCTTGATCTTTTTGGATGTCTAAATTTTTATATCTCACTTTCATGGTGTAGCTGACTAAGCCATTAGTAACTTCAAGAAAGTGTTCTATTTTTACAAAAGGATGTTTTCCTAACATGTGCTCTAACCATGCCCAATGAGTACTTGGTAGCCACCCAAATGCAAGCCAATTTCCATAGTGGTAATTGATGACAACACTGCTATTCCTATCACATTCAACTCTATGTCTCAATTAATATTCCCAACATATGGTGGCCTAATGAATCACTTGTATCGAGAATGGTGCGTCTGTCTAAACCAGTGGTTCAAGAGGGCATACTTGATTCACTTTGAGAGCTTTTATAAACTATGCAAGAACATTCTTCCCTTCCCTTGCACAATATTCTAGCCACCTTATGGTCAGAGTAATCACCAATTAGGTTAGAAAACAGACTGTAGATTCTTCATTTGGCTTATTTATGTTTCCTATACTTGTACATGTCTTCTGATTTCTAAGACTTGGGTAACTTATTATTTTATTCTAATTTCTTTCCTATTTTTAAAATATGCATTAAATTGGTCTTTTGTGGATTGATAGTACATACCACCTAAGAGTGTGGACTTTTACAATAGTAGTGAAAGGTAGATTAAAGTGTCCGCCCTGTTTCTGTGTGAATTTTGTTAACCCCTGGTTTCTTTATGTATAAAATGGAGAGAGTAGGAATATCTTTCTCATAGGAATACTTTTAAGATTAAAAAACAAAAAGAGATGATGCATATAAAATGCTAGGCAAAATATGCAACTCAAATGTATGGGCAGTGGCAAGCATTCAATAAGATATTAGGTATTATTGTTGTTATTATCATTAGCTTTTAGCTTGTGTTAATTCAAGAAGAGAGTTTGTTTTTTACGCTTTTGCTAATCACCTTTTATTATATCTTACATTCTATGTTGCTGCCCAACCCTGAAGGGACTTTAAATAATTCTCCATCTCCCAGCCTGGGTGACAGAGCGAGACTCTGTCTCTAAAATTAATAATAATAATAATAATAATAATAATAATAATAATAATGCTCCATTTCTTTCAAGGGAAAGATTCACAACACCATCAGCCTCAATTGGAATTAGTTAACAACCAGGCCAGCTGCATGACAATGGACAATTTATCTCACATGACTCTTTCAATAAATATTTTTGAGTGCCTGGTCATTGAACTAGGTCCTATAAGATCCCTTTCCTGAAATGGTATCATTTGTTTAAGAATATTTTACTATTTAAGTCTGGCCTTCTCTAATTATTTCATATTAGTATGTGTATCTGTATAAGAAACAGTGAGGGGCCGAGTGTGGTGGCTCATGCCTGTAATCCCAGCACTTTGGGAGACTGAGGTGGGAGGATTGCTTGAGTCCAGGAGTTTGAGATCAGGCTGGGCAACATAGTGAGACCTCATCTCTACAAAAAAATTAGAAAATTAGCTGGGCATAATGGTGCATGTCTGTGGTCCCAGTTACTGAGAAGGCTTAGGTGGGAGGATGGCTTGAGCCGTAATTGTACCACTACACTCCAGCCTGAGCCACAGAGTGAGACTCTGTCTTAAAAAAAAGAAAAAATGAAACCAAAAATTAATGAACTGATCTCATTCGATCTCTGATAAGTCATAGCATGGAAGATTTCGGTGACAATTTACCTATTCAATAATGAATATTCCATACAAATGTTACTCTTATCCATCTTCCATGCCTTACTAAGAATTAGAGTTACCAGCTAAAATGCAGGATGCCTAGTTAAATTTTAATTTCAGATAAAAATATAAATAATTTCTTAACATAGCTATGTCCCAAATATTGCAAGGGACATACTTCTGCAACATCACTTGTTGTTTATTTGAAATTCAAATTTAGTTGCATGTGCTATGTTTTTATTTGCTAAATCTGAATTTCTGTTAATGCAAGCAGAAAGGAGACTTAAAAACTAAAATAATGGTAATGCATTTAGTCTGATTGCTGGATTTAGAGATTGCAAGGCCATGCTATTCTCTTTCATTAGTTTGTATACTATTTTTTAAACAACATGATCAACCAGTTATTTGCCATGGTTGAAGAAAAGGCTGCCTGGGCTCGTTCACTTTGTGGTTAGAGGATACATACCTTAAATCTACAAATACAGGACAAGAATGTTGTTGGCTGTCATTCTACTCAGGCTTAAATGATGTAGTATCAAAGGCCCAATTCAAGTCCTGCTGTCTTTCCAGGGGCCCTAAACCCTGCCCTGCTTTCTCTTAGCTTCCTGAATCCTGTCTGTGTACAGTTCCTCCATTGATTTCTCAGGCTTCATCTGGAGTTCCACATGAGTAGTGATGACAGGGTCAGATTAACACATCATACACAGAAATAGCTCCATACATAGATTGGTGAGTAAAGGCTATAAGATCAGCATTTAACAGTGACTTTTACCATAATTTAGCCGTCAACTTCATTTCTGTGAGCTCAGACTTAATGGCCACGTAACATAAACCTCAATTTTAGAATAAATTAATTTTTTTCTGTGCCTGTTTCCATAAATGAGAAAACAGAACTCCCTTTCTCCATTCCATGGTACACAATTTTGGCTTTCATTCTGTGACTATACAGTCACCTTTACTGCCATGAAAGTATCTTTGCTTGGCCTTTGGTTCTGCCATGTAAACCAGCAGAAGGGCCAAGGTAAGTCATGGCAACTATGTACTGAGCTGGATAAAATGAAAGAAAATGAATCATCTGCTGTACTGTCAATTGGGAGAACTGATAAAGCAGAAAATAATGATGAACCAGGTGTGCCCTTCTCCAGACAATTAAGTGCATGTTTTCTCTTAAAATCACCTATCTGGAGAAAAGGCATAAACTGTTGCCAATTAAAGCAAGTCTTCTGGAAATGTCTACATTGTCTCCTGGAAAGAGGATGTAAATAAACACTCAGCAATGCATTTCCACAGGAAACAAGATTCATGCTGGCCTATCTCTTGGGCACAGCACCCAATGGTGGAAACAATAAATTTGAAGGATTAGGTGGCTGGATCTGTTTCTACAAAATAACATTTGCATTGAGGCCATATTATTATGAAAAATAAGGATAAAAAGTAATTGATTATCAAAATTTGAGGATCATAAAAGAGGAAAGACTGCTGTATACATATATATGAATCAGTTACTTTCTCAGAAAAATTGAAGAATGATTGCAATATAGTTAAAATGTGCATCATATTTTATAAATAATTTAATGCATAGCAAACTCTAGAATAATATACATCCTTATACATATGAGAGACATATTATATAAACCAAATATACATATGACGCTTTGCCTAGATGTATGTGTATATTCAACAATACATTTTACTCTGAGAGAGGATTTGGCAAACCACAGCCCACAGGTTGGATGCTTGCTTTTTAAAATATAGATTTATTAGAACACAGCCATGCCCATTTGTTTATGTATGATTGATGGCACCTTTCCCGATATACAGCAGACTTGAATGGTTCCAAAAGAGACTCCAGGACCCAAAGAACCTAAAATGTTTACCTGGCCCTTTGTTTTAAAAATTCTAAGACATGGTTATGGTAGCTATAAAAATCATGTCTGGTTTAATGATTTTATAACATGAAATTCGATTTAGTTATTCATTGTTGGCAGAGGAAGATGAAAGACTGCCAGCTACTAGGTAAGGATTTTAATGTGTATGGAGATAAATAGAAGAAACTTTCTTCTTTATATCTACTCCAACTTTCTTCTCCTCTTTATAATTCTGTGTATTTTTTCTTGCCTTATATTTCCCTTTCATTTTTATCTTATTATTCTATGTGTATCTTCACTTGTCATTTATGACCTTTCTCCGTTTTATCCATTTTCCACATATATTTTTATAGTGGGAATTTTGGGGTCATGTGAAGCACAGGAACTTTTTGCCTGGAAGATCTATCCATCCATCTCCACATGAGCAGTATTGAAAACTTCCCACCTCCAATGAACTAAAAAAATGAACTGAGTCAGATAAATAGTCCTCTGCACAGTTTTCCTGACATTTGTTTTAATGTTCTGCAGTAGAAAATCAGGAAGAATTCTGTTTGGTTCAGTGTACCTGTAACAAGCTTTGGCTTTGATCCAGGTAATTTTTCAGATACTGGTGTCTCAAAGACAAATAAAATAAGGTGTATATCCTTTGTTCTTCTCTCTTACACATCTTGTACTTTATTCTAAATGCTTAGGATAATTTGTACTTTGTGTGTGCAATCGTGTGTGTTTGAATTGGATCTTGTACTAAACTATAACCTCCATGAAGACAGGGATGATGTTCATTTTGCTTACTCTTTTATTGTCAGTGCCTGCCATAATTATAAGTCCTCTAAGAATATTTATTGAATTACTTTAATGAATGATGGAGAGGGCCACTAAAACATTTTAATAATTAGAATGAGAAGGTCATGTAAATCTTAGATAGATCATTCTGGTAGTATTTTGAAACTTAGGAGGATCAGACTACAGACTGTAAGTCAGTTCTTCTAGTTGATCTTTCTTGTGTAGCAGAAAAAAATAAGATATTTCTGTAATTCCTCAATTTGGGGGTAGGAAGGGCATGAACCTAGAAATAAGTAGTTCTTTAACTCAGTCTGGTTTTTTGCCACACAATAGTTGCCACATTTCTCCACCCACTCAGGTGTGCCTCTTATTCCCCAATTACAGCTTTGAATCTATTACCCAGCCCAGCTTCAACAAGATGTACTTGAGCAGCTCTAATCTGCCTCTGAGCTTTACCCAAGTTAGGTAATCAGAGTTCTACATTATCCTAGGAGCTATGCCATGATAGATGCTTTAGGCATCATGATAGGTTCTATGGAGAAAATGATTAATAAGACAGATGCTGCCCTGCCACAGTCTAGAAAGGGAGAAAAATCGAAATACAAATGATGCTAATATTAGTATTGAGTGATAAGTGCAATAATAGAGTTATGTATCTGTTGTAAAGGTGGCAGAGAGGAAAGAATGTTTATGCCTGTGTTATGGATATTAAAAAGGCTTATAGAGGAGGAAGCATTGGGTTTATGTTTTCAAAAGCAAACAGAATTTTTCAGGTTCAATAGTAGGTGATATGCAAACTGAAAGTAGATATTCAGGCAGAATAAATAAAAAAAGACATGAAGGAATTAAGTTTGCCATGCTTTTTAATAACGAGTCCACTGTATTTGTTCCTCTTCTCAGATCTTGATTCTTGTAACTTGCCAAAATTCCATTCTCTTCTTAGGCTCTGTTTTAATGTTGGGATTCTCTTTGTAGGAAAATGGGGTTCTTCTCCTGAATATCAATCCTGTTTCATAGTGGCCATTAGACTTCTCTGACATTGCCTGCCAGTCTTAGATCCTGATTCTAAAAGTCACCTGTCTGAAATCCGCCATTTCTGTGTCTACTTTTTTCTTGGATCCTATTGGTCTAAAGTGAGATGCTGTGGTTCTTGGATACTGAGCTTTGCCTCTGTCATAGATCAAGCTGTCTCTCAGAGATATAGCCTTAGTTAAAGATTCTGGCTCAAGTGATTTATACAGGAGTAACCCCAGGAAAAACAAGCAAGAGAGTGGAAGGAGAGAATAGAAAAGGAAAAAAGCTAAGCAATGGTGTGATTTCAGGTGTGGCTTCAGGCTCAGCCTGATCCTGTGGGGGAACTCTGGAGCATAAATTACATTTCAGGGTTTGTTTTACCTTGAGACAAAAGAGCTAAGATTTTTACCCTCATACCAATCAGTCATTGGCTCCAGGCAGCCATGGTAGTTAGCGAGTGGGGGGCCTAAGCTACCAAGCACTTCCAAGTGAGATAACTGAAGTTTTTAAGGGTGGACACTGGAAAGTCATAGGTTCTAGTTGTTAGCAGAATGGCAATCCAAAGATGAAGAATGCTGGTAAAGGGATGAGAAGGGCTAGGTACAGTGTCCACTGTGGACTCCCACAAAGTCTTCCCCAAGTTCATGCCTGTGATGCCTGGTGAGTGGGATGCTTCAGGTCTCCAAATGTCTCAGAATTTTCCTTCCTGACATAATTATCTGGACTCCTTTGTCTATGCCAAGTCTCCACATAAAATGCTTGCATTCCTGGAAAGCTATTGTATAGTTTGCTATAAAGGAATGCCCGAGACTGGGTAATTTATAAAGAAAAGAGGTTTATTTGGCTCACAGTTTTGCAGGTTGTACAGAAAGCATGGCATCATTATCTGGTTCTAGTGCGGGCCTCAGGAAACTTAGAATCATGGCAAAAGGTGAAGGGGAAGCAGGCATATCAGATGGTAAGTGAGGAAGCAAGAAAGAGAGGAGGAGGTGCCAAGCTCTTTGTAACAATCAAATCTCATGGTTACTCATTACTATGGAGGGGGCACCAACGCATTCATGAGGGATTCACCCCATGACCCAAACACCTCCCGCCAGGTCCCACCTCCAACGTTGGGGATAACATTTAAACATGAGACTGGGAGGGGACAAATATCCAAACTATATCAGGGATAGTTCCTTCAAGGACAGGGAGGAAACTGAGAATGTTCTTGCTACTTAGGGGACTAGTAAAATTTCAGATGATCAGAGAGCATTTGGTTCATTCCAAAACATCATTTCATACTGAAAACAGAATTTGAAACTTTCATATGCACAAAAGAAAGACAAGATTGATCTTCGGATTTGAAAAACGTAGGCTGCTTCCTGATCAGTATCCCAAGGCAGAATAAAGTATTTTCAGGATATTTTGCATTCAGATGTATTATGCTCCAAATTCAATTCTTTTGATTAGAAGATTTAGGCTTGCTATAATATAAAAGCAAGTGTAGGACATGGCTACACAGCTTGAATAATTTTTGCAACTTCAACGAGAATTTTTGAATACTTTAAACCATGATTCTTACTTGTACTATATGATTAGTAATTAGAAGTAATTTGGAAAAAAGCATGTGCCGTTTTCTCTATTATTCCTATGAGGATTATCATTATAGTGATTTTCATTCCTTTCTCTGAAATAAAATATTTTAAAAGCTCAAATTATAGGACTTATAAAAATGTACATTTGTACATTTCTTTTATGAGAAAGAGACAAATAATAATGATGTAATCATATGGTAAGAATTTGTTGAAATCAACAACTTTCAGGTCAAATTAGAGAGCTAGCATTGATATAACCCAGTATCTAGCATCACTTCCTACTCTTAAATTACAGTAATTGATATTTATAATTAGTAGTGTGGCATAGGTACTGTTGTGAACCAGATGGGTTAACTTGTACTTATTATCATTTAAATATATTCTATTTTTACTCTATTTTTTAGAAAATTGGTAATCTATGTACAATAATTCTTACCTAATGAGACTATTCAATTATCCATTTTGTGTCATTCTGGATAAATGGGCACTGGCTCTATCTTTGTTTCCGTCATACCATGTTTGTGGTGATGTCATACTCCAATTTTAAAGATAATTTTATTTATCACACCGGAATTGGCCAATGCCTGGAAAGGTTACATCTGTAAAGTAAACATAAAACACTGTGGAGCCAAGTGGAGCCCAAATGATCTGTTTACATTTAAGATTGATTTTTTAAAACCTCATTTCCTTGTTTTGTTACAGATGGCAGTGGAAAAAACAATAGAATTTCTGAATGAAAAAAATTCCTAGATTTCTATGTTGTAAAAGCAGGTCCTTGACATTCTTCCTGTTCATCTAGGGAGATGCTGGCATCCACTTTGTTATCTGGAGGTAGGCCTTGATACTTGGATGTTTCTTCAAACACAAGATGGTAGCAGGAAAAGGGAAATAATGTGTGGAATTGACACGGAGGGAAACTGTAGCAGGAGAAGAGAAAATTTTTTAGCTAAGATTATGCTATTCATACAGATTTGTGGGTATAGATTACTTTCCTCCATGTTATAATGTTGATAACTTGATGAAAATAGCAAATAAAAAGTAGCATTATTCTTCTGTACCCAACAAATGTTTTTGACACTACTATAAGGACAATGTTGCTTTTTGACTTACCTTGTTCCATTTGAATAATAATTAAGAAAAACGTAGATGGGCCAGGCACAGTGGTTCAAGCTGTAATCCCAACACTTTGGGAGGCCAAGGTGGGCAGATCACTTGAGCCCAGGAGTTTGAGATCTGCCTGGGCAACATTGTGAAACTCCATTTCTACGAAAATACAAAAATTAGCTGGGGGTGGTGGCACATACTTGTAGTCTCAGCTACTTGGGGGACTGAGGCAGGAGGATTGCTTGAACCTGGGGGACCGAGGTTGCAGTGAGCTGAGATGGCATCACTGCACTCCAGCCTGGGCAACACAGTGAAACACTGTCTCAAAAAAGAAAAGAAAAGAAAAATATAGATGGATGATTAATCAAACATTTTATTACTTATCTTGGTAAATTGGCAGGTTTAAGACCTTACGTTAGATAGTAGAGTATGAGCAAGTTGGTAGTCTTTTAAGAAACGTCTGTAAGATTTTATTTCACAATCTTTTCAGAATCATCATTCATAGTTGAGTTCATCAAGTGTCACTTAAATGGCCTGTAAATTAAAGAAACAATTCTTTAACATGTTCCTATTTAGAGGATGGATCCTCATTTGACCTTTTATATTAAAAGCTATAATAAGAAGAGGAATGATGACTTTTTCCAGCACTCCTGAACAATGTGTCAAGATATATCTGCACAGAATTTCACAAAACGTCAGGGGCATTGTCTCCCTTTGGTAAACTCTAAATGTGGCACATAGAAGGTATTCTTTTAGCAGTTATTGTGGATATGAAGCTGGATATTGATTTAACAAAATATTTTCATATTAAAGAAATGTTTTATACATTCAAACACATGATGTGTTCTAAAAAGTGTTCATTGATACCTAGAGAACAAGGATTTTAATTTAATTTCCCCATCAAATAATATGTCAAAGCAAGTTATCTATCTGGACTAGACTTTACCTCCTTGTCACAGTGGTAGTAGCTTAAATTGTAAAAGATCTATTTTTAGTTATTGAAATATGGCCCCCCACAGAACCAGTCACTGATGGACTTTACTAGGTTTCTTCAGTATTTCCTAAGAGGCAATTACCCTGGAAATTATTCGTAGCACAACTGTTATATCCAACAGCCAACTCATCAGGAATTTTTGTTGGCTTGACCTGCAAAGTGTATCCAGAATTCGACAACTTTTTACCATTTCTGTCACCATCTTCCAGGACACCATCACATCTCACTTGGATTGTTGCCGTAGTCTTCTAACTGGTTTTCCTGCTTCTAAACTCACTCCTTCTAAGTTCATTGTCAACACAGCAGAAACAATAATTCTTTGAAAACATAAGTGAGATATCATTGCTCCTCTGTGTAAATGCTTGAGCCCTTATCACTCTGAATGGCAGCTAGAACCGTTACTGCAGCCTCACTGCTCTACATGGCCTGTTTTCCTCTCCCCATCACCTCTTTGACTTGTTATCCCAGGAACTGCCCCTCTCTTGCCCTCCATTCCCTCTTCACTAGCCCACCGGCCTCCTCATTCTTCCTGCCTCGGAGCTGTTTCCTTGTCTGGAATTTTCTTCCTCCAGATGTCTGCTTGGCCCACTCTAACATTTCTTTCAACTCTTTCCTCAAATGTTCAAATGTCATATTCTCATTGAGGCTGTCTTTAGCTCTCTACCTCATCCTACTTCCCCACTGGGCACTCCCAGTTCCTTTAACCTGCTCTTTTTTTGTCCTCCCTGTAGCACTTATTTTTTTTTCTATCTCCTCCTTCCACCTCTACTAGATTGTGAGTTTCATGATGACAGAGATTTTGACCATTTTGTCCAATGACATACTGCCAGGGTCTAGCACAATATAGATGCTCAAAAGATATTTGTTTAATAAGTGAATTAGGCCAGGTTTGGTAGCTCATGTCTGTAATCCCAGCACTTTGGGAGGCCAAGGTGTACAGATCGCTTGAGTCCAGGAGTTCAAGACCAGCCTGGGCAACATAGTGAGACCTCTGTCTCTACAAAAAAAGAAAAATAGCCAGGCATTGTGGCACGTGCCTGTAGTCCCAGCTACTCTGGAGGGTATTCTGGAAGTGGGAGGATCACTTGAGCCTAGGAGGTTGAGGCTGTAGGGAGCCATGATCATACCATTGGACTCCAGCCTGGGCAACAGAGGAAGACCCTTTCTCCAACAAAGAAAGAAAAAAAAAAAACAGGATCCATTGCTATTTTATGTCCGTGACGTAAAAGAGTGCATGGGGTCACCATAACATGAACTACTACCTTCTGCTGAAATGTGCTGGTGTCTTTGAGAAAGCACCAATAAATAGCTCCTTCCTGCCTGGCCGAGGTTTAAACCAATTTATAGACAAAACTAAGTTTCAGCAGGCAGAGCACAAAATATTAATATCACCTTAATACTGAAAGGACTGGTAGAAAGACATACTTATTTCTGTAAGCAAGTCAGTTATCTAATACTGAACCTCTGCCCCAAATAGATACATGTGTCTACAGAACAGCACTGACCGATGACATATCTTCCAACAAAAGCAGAATAGGCAGAGCAGAATTTCCCCTCCCAGGAATAGGAAAGAGAAAGAAACTGTGCTGTCCATGCATTTTTCACCTGCATATATTCACCACTCATTGTTTTGTTTCTTGGAGTTGGGGGAGGTGGAGCAATTGGGGCGGGATAGAGAAGTGTGTGATGAGGGCATGGGGAGAGGTCAGTGGTGTTACTCCAATAAACATCCCATCATATAGAAGAAAACATTAGACATGGAAGTGAAGTGATGTCCCCTAATAATATCTATATTTTTCCTCTTTTGAAATTTGTTCCTTTTGGTTAAAATTAGTATATCTCAGATATTTAGAATGTTAATTTGCTGTCGGCAAACCCAGAGAGATGAAAAGTCAGTCCACGTGGTTGGTATGGAGAGAATTGCTGAAAATATAAAACTGAGACCTAACCTATCAGCAGTCAGGGAAGAGTTAGAGGAAGATTATGTTTTAAAATGGAGATCCTTCAGTGACTCCCCCATACTAATAATATTTCAAATATCTTCAAATCACAGGCCACTCTTTGGGTATTCCTCAAGGTAATGAGAGGCACATCATCAAGGAGGCACAGGTTTTGGGTGTTTCTTATGTACTAAGAACTGGGGATAAGAGTAGTGCACAAAATAAATATAGTCCTTGCCTTCACAGAATCTATTGGGGAAGAAGTGTGAGTATAAGTAAATATAGAGTGAAAATAGCATATTAATAGCACCAGAAGCCTGGGCGCAGTGGCTCATGCCTGTAATCTCAGCACTTTGGGAGGCCAAGGTGGGCAGATCACCTGAGGTCAGGAGTTTGAGACTAGCCTGACCAACATGGTGACACCCAGTCTCTACTGAAAATACAAAAATTACCTGGGCATGGTGGCACATGCCTGTAATCCCAGCTACCTGGGAGGCTGAGACAGGAGAATTGCTTGAACTCAGGAGGCAGAAGTTGCAGTGAGCCGAGATCGCACCACTGCACTCCAGCCTGGGCAACAGAGTGAGATTCCAACTTTTTTTTTTTAAAAAAAAAAGCACCAGAAATAGGTGCAAATTGAGGCTGAAGGTGAGAAACTTTACTCCTTCATTGTTTACAGACTACCCATATGTTCCAGGGACAGGATTAAATGCAGAGGATATAAAGATATCCTGTCCTCAAAAAACAGAAAGTTTAAAATGGGAGAGATAGAGCAGGTAGTTAAATAAGCAGGTCAATAAAATACAATATAACATATAATGTGTCTTAGCCTGTACATGGAACTATGTTGACCCAGAAGAAAATACCTTAATTCAGGTTTAGGTTTCAGGAAGACTTATTGGAGAGGTGAGTTAAAGCAATAAAATAGAAATAGGAAAGGAAAATGCAAGTGCATTGGAAGATAGAGTTGAGATGCTTACTCAGAATGTATCAGAGTGAGTGATGAAGAGACGAAAACATGGAATGGGAGAGTAAGGGATGGGTAAGATAGCATTGGAGTAAAAGGAGGAGAAAAGAGAAAAAAATTAAGGAAAGGTGATAGCTCAAATTTTTCCAGAATAAAATGACTAGAGTTCCTCAGACTTAAAAATCACAATGCTTTCTAATCAGCAAAACTAAATACAAATTACATGCATACATAAGGATGAAACTTCAGAACAATTTAAAAAAGTGAAAATTGAAAAACCAAGTACAGAAGAAATAGGTTATCTACAAGGAATAATAACAGAATTCTCGCAGGCAACGATACTGCTAGAAAACATTTGACTCTTATCTTCAAAGGAGAGTAGAAAAACAGCTTCCAGGCTAGCATTCTATTCCCATTGAAGTTATCATTCAAAAGGGAGAATAAAATACAGCCACTTCTAGACATATGAGGATTAAGTATTTATTATTCATGGACCCTTTAGGAAAGTACTCTAGAGCAGGGGTCCCCAACCCTGTGCCATAGACCCTGGCCTGTTAGGAACCAGGTGGCACAGCAGGAGGTGAGCGGCAGGCCAGTGAGCATTACCGCCTCAGCTCCGCCTCCTGTCAGATCAGCAGCTGCATTAGATTCTCATAGGGGTGCGAACCCTATTATGAACTGCACATGTGAGGGATCTAGGTTGCATGCTGCTTATGAGAATCTAATGCCTGATGATCTGAGGTGGACCTGTTTCACCCCCAAACCATACCATTTTACCCCCACCCCCATTAGTGAAAAAACTATCTTCCAAGAAACCAGTCTCTGGTGCCAAAAAGTTGGGGACTGCTGCTCTAAAGGATGAAATCCCACACAGAGAAAAGAATACGTGCACAAATCCACAGTAATCCAGCGAGCAGGGACAAGTGGGAGGCCTGGTGTGGCTAAAGGTCTGGGGGAAGGGAGAGATCAGCAGTGGCCTGTGACTCTGGCTGCTCTTGTCCTTTAGGGGAGATCTGGGCTTTCTCTGAAGGCTCAGAGTGATCAAAGGGTCTCAGCAGGGTGAGGACTTGTTTAGATTTATGCTGTAGTAAGATCACTGTGGCAGAGGGTAGAGAATATGTTGTTGCCAGTGAGGCCAGTTGGGAGTAATGGGTGTAATTTAATGAGAAATGATTAGGGCCTGGATGAAGGTGAGGCAGGGAGGAAAATGGTCAGATGCTGGAATTGTTAAGGCGGTAGGTCCTCAGGACTCAGTAAGTGATTCAGTGTGGCGAGAAAGAAAGAAGGCGTCAAGCAGGCAATTGTTTTACTAAGGCAGCTTCCATGGAGTCCAATTGCAGTGAGAGGAGCAATGGGAGATGAGAGTGGAAACACTGATAACCCTGTTAAGAATGATCTGTGAAGCAGCGGCAAGACTTAGAGTAATAGCCAGAGGAAGATCAGAGGGAAGAAAGATATTAGGATGGAAGGCTTAATGAGCAAGTGGGGAAGACAAATAAGAGAAGCAAAAAATGAAGATATACAGAGAGGTTCAGAGATACCTGATAGAACAAGGGCCTGGGCAGGTAAGAGGAAGTAGAGAGCCTTATATACAAGGAAACATAGAGAAAGATGCAGGCTGTGGTACGAATGCATCCCCCAAAGTTCATGTATTGGAAACTTAATCCCCAGTGCCACAGTGTTGAGAGCTGAGACTTTAAAGAGATGAATAGGTCACAAGGGTTCTGCCCTTATGAATGTATTAATGCTGTTATCGTTGGAGTGGGTTATCACGAGAGTGGGTTCCTGATAAAAGGATGAGTTTGTCCTTTCCTACCTCCTCATAGCAAGAGGCCATCACCAGATGCAAGCCCCTCGATGTTGGGCATTCCAGCCTCCTGTAAGAAATAAATTTCTCTTCTTTATAAATCACCCAGTCTTAGGTATTCTATTGTTGCAGCACAAAACGTAGTAAGATAGGGCAGATGCAAGAAACTGACAATCCCCTCGTCCTTTGTAAGTAGCACCATGACTGGCACACAGCAGTGATGAATAAATGTTGAGTGAATTAATGAATCAGTGAATGAAAGAATAGAAAGATAGATGATGGATATATTCAGGCAGGCTCCAGATCTTAGTATACTAACTCTCAAAGGCCAGCATGTTTTCAAGTTAGGAATGGCAGACCTCTAGTGGACAAAAAGAAAAGTCAGCAATCTAATGGCTGAGAACAAAATTTGCATAAGATGGTTTGGGTAAATGCGCTTGCAAAAGAATAAGTACATAAAGCATTGCTTTACAAAGATTTTATCATACCTAATTTTTGCTGTGCTCAGTTTCTTATAAATGGGACTTAAAAGCACATGCATGATGAGTTCACTTCTGTAATTAACTGCTTAGAGTGAATGCCTTATGGAAATGAAGCCAGTAATCTTTTAATTATGATTAACATTTCTTTTTAATACCTGCAGGAGGGAAATAATTACTCATATGTGGAATTTCATGCTACAAGCTACATAAGATACAAAGTAGCTGTTCATTTTGAAATAGAGAAAAGGGGAAAGAGAAAATCGTAACCAAATAAACCTTTGGTTACAGAAGTCTCAAATATGATGAAAAGAGTGTATTTAAAAATGACAACAGCAACACATATTGTTTAAAATATTGAACTGTAAAAACAAGGTTAACAGACCTTTTTAGTCCTTAAAAATTAAATAATGTCCTACTGTCAAATTATTTGGAGTTAGCTCAAGGAGGAATTATTTGTTGATGCAAACTATGGTTCTTTTAGGAGCCTGAGTGCTTTCTAATAGAGATCAAGTTGAGTTGATCCTATGTTATTCACAATCAAAGAAAATGTTTGGCAGCTATTCCAGGTTAATTAACTACATAAGGTCTCCAGTTTGTAAATCAGAAAGGTATTACAGGTGACTACTTAAGGATGCTTCAGTTTTTCTATTATGACAATTTTATTAACAATGTACAGTGTCTTAGGTAAATGAAAGAAGAATATAATTTTATGTGGCAATTGTGTGCAGCTGGTGAGGTGGGGATGAGAGAGTTAGGAAATATTAGATATGAGAGTACACATGTGGGAACTTTTCTAATCCATGACTGCAGAATTTAAAACGATTGAAGAAATTACCATCTTTTGCCTGAGTTAGCAGAACTGAAATTAGCTTCTGAGGAAAGCTCTTTGGGATTTCTTGTTTGTTTCTGAATCTTTTTAAATGTTTAATTCAATACCACTGTATTTGAGAATAAACATTATTAAAATGTCATAATGACTCTTTAGACTATTTTAAGCTGCCATAAAGAGAGTGTTTGCATTTTTTATCAGCCCTGATCTGCCAGGGACTTAGTCATTAGGCATCATTGTATAATTAAATAACAATAAATAATTATAAATAAATGTTTCAAATTTGATACCAATAAGAGCAGAAATCTGAGAGCAAGTAAAAAAGGGTTTCTAAGCAATATTTAGACAACTGTAATAAAAATATCTAATAAAAGTACAGCTCACACCCGCAAAAATGAGTAGTTATCGCTGGATTTATTTAATAGGTGATTTTATTCTGCTTTATTTCTATTGCATATATGTCCAAAGTTCTCTGCATTGAGCATTACATTTGTCATTTTAAAATGACTTAAAAAACAAAACAAACAAAAACACCAAGAGCTCAGCATCATTTGTTGACTAGAAACTGTTGCATGGCTGCTACAGATGCTATTGTACCTTTTGGGCACATTCTGCAACATCTCTTGCTATTCTGAGCCATCCAGAGCGATTCTACATACATCTCTAGAAAATAATACAAATTTTCCAGGACAGTATGATGATGTCAGCCATTGCTTAATCAGTTTTTACATTTAGGGAGAAGCTAGAGGAAAGTTGGAAATGCTAAGGGACATTTCAAGACTTCCCAGAAAGTAGCTGTGTCAGGAACAAGGAAGGCAGGAGGAGCCTGGGGAAAGTCTCACATTTGATTCAAAAGAGTTCCAACCTTAGGAAAGTTGGACTCTCAAACACGTCTGTTTCAGTATGCAGCCATATTCACGCCTAGATGCAGGACTGCTATGGTTCCCTCCTCCATAGTGCTGTTTATTCTGCACCACAGAGTTCCCTGGGCCTGTGAGAAAAACCCCACACTTCACTGGGGTGCTTGCTTTTGGTCCTTTCCTCTTTTCCTTCCTTTCATCCTCCTTTTTCTTTCCTTTTGTTTTCGTCTCTGCCCCTTAACAATTAAGTGTTATTCTCAAAATAGGAGAAGATGGCAAGTTCAGATTTGTAACTGCTAGATATGATATTTTTGTATCTTTTTCTTTAGTGAACTCTCATTTATTTAACAAATATTTATTTGCTCACAAATATTAAAGCATAATTGCTTTTATTGAGAGAATCTGTCTAATAAATAGTAATTCAAAAAAGAAAAGAAAGGAAAACCCAGATGTAGTTTCTGCCTTCAATAAATTTACAATCTAGTGGAAAAGACCAAAAGTAAACAAATAATCTCCCCAAATATATATATATATATATATATATATATATTGAGATGGAGTCTCACTCTGTTGCCCAGGCTGGAGTGCAATGGTGTGATCTCGGCTCACTGCAACCTCCACCTCCCGGGTTCAAGTGATTCTCCTGCCTCAGCCTCCTGAGTAGCTGGGACTACAGGTGTGTAGTCCGGCTAATTTTTTGTATTTTTAGTAGAGACGGGATTTCACCATGTTAGCCAGGATGGTCTCGATCTCCTGACCTCATAATCTGCCTGCCTCGGCCTCCCAAAGTGCTGGGATTACAGGCATGAGCCACCGCGCCCGGCCCCAGGTAATTTTTATTATGATTTTGGATGCATGCTATGACAGGACAGCACAAGGGTGTGAGTGATGGTGGGGATATCAGAAAACACCCCTGAGGTGTGACATTTATCCTCAGACCTAAAACAATGGTTCTCAACTGGGCTATTTTGACAATATCTGGAAACATTTTTGTTATCACAACTGGGAGGAAGGATTTACATTTCCTGATCATGTAGTGTGACTTCCTTTTTTTTTTTTTTTTTTTGAGACAGAGTCTTGCTCTGTCGCCCAGGCTGGAATGCAGTGGCCTGATCTCCGCTCACTGCAACCTCCACCTCCCAGGTTCAAGCAATTCTCCTGCCTCAGCCTCCCAAGTACCTGGGATTACAGGTGCCTGCCACCATGCCTGGCTAATTTTCATATTTTTAGTAGAGACCGGGTTTCACCATGTTGGCCAGGCTGGTCTTGAACTCCTGACCTCAAGTGATCCGTCCGCCTTGGCCTCCCAAAGTGCTGGAATTACAGGCGTGAGCCACTGCACCCAGTCGCATAGTGTGACTTTGATTTGTGTCTCCATAACAGGAATATTTTCAAAATAAATCATCTATTTTATTCCCCATAAGTTATATTAATTTTTGTATATTAATTATTAATTGTTATAAGTTATATAAATTATACTGTCCTGGGTCTCTGTATCCATTGAGTAGGCTTCGATTGTTTCAGGGTGAGAATAGACAGAACCTAACATAGAGAAGTCACTGCTCAGCTTTGAATGTCAAATTAGACATTTTTTGAGCACTCAGAAAAACAATTGCCTTGGATATCGTAACTTTTAGAGAAAGGAAAGTTTTCTTGGAGTATAATAATTTCCTTTCATATAATCAAGACACCTATATATGATTCATATCATAGTGTTTTACTATAAGACATTTGTAAATTGAAAGACAGTTATGAGGCCCCATCAGACAGGAAGGAGTAGAAAGTCCTTCTGATGCTGAGGCTTAAAAACCACGGAAAGGAAGAGGGAAGCAAAGCAATCTACTCTGGGTGTCCTTGCTTTGTCCTTGGCAGTGCTGGGGAAGCGGTGGTGCTGGGCAGGGCCTCTGAAGCACTGAAATCATGTTGGGGAAATCCAAGGCAATTGGAGACTTCTGGTTTTCCCAGCGGGTGGCCTGAGAACCATGAAGATTTCTTAGAGTAACCACAAGGTGGCAGAGAATCGCAAATGACTTCGAGAGGCTTTTGAGTGCCGGGGTAAAAATGGCCGCAGGAGATGCTCTAGTTCACAGGCTTGAAGTAGTGTTGAGACAAGAAACGAAGTAACCTTGGGACGGAGATCTGACTGATAGACCACACAAACTGGAGTCACGGGCAGACCTCAGAGCGTCATTACTGAGAGCTGGGGAGGGCTGAGGCAGCCAGCGGGCATCAGGTCTTCACCTCAGCATAGAGCTGAATGTGAGGCACACTTCTGGATGCCTCAGGAGCCAGTGCAGAGGAACAGAGGTCCTCCGAGTTCTGGATACACACTTTCTACTCTACACCACTTACACCACCTGGGACCTTAAATCACTCTGGCAAAAGGGAAGGAAACCTTGAGAGGAGGGTGGCGAAGGGCATCACATCTGAAACCCATGACAGTAACTCAAAAGACATGAATTATCCAGAAAGAGGCTATTTAAACTAGAAAAGACTGAATTACTTATTGACAAGCCTGTTTTGTTTTTTTCCCCTCCTGTCAATGGTATTGGGGGCTTGAAAGCAAGACAAAGTCAGAGAAAATAAAGAAAAATACACTGTGTGTGTGTGTGTGTGTGTGCATTTGGGTCGTTTCAGAAGTAGTAAGTAAATTTACACACCACTATATTGGAAAGCCGACATAGAATTCCTAAGGAAGTAGGGACACTACCAAGCTACATCATCCTATCATAAGACACAGGGTAGTCTACTAAAACTGTACTTCATATTCTAATATTTGCCTGAGGTACAACACATAATATCAAGAATACTGGAGGGAAAGCTGATTTGTTCTTTCGGGAAAGGCTTATTTCTTATGTTTATTCTGGGCACTGTAGGTCAAAACAGGATGATCCAGACATGACTTTTAATTCAAAAAGATTTTAGAAAAAAGGCATGTGCATTATTCATCAATGTAACATAATGAAAAGATAGGCTGTATTGTACACTCATTAGGAATGCAGACCCCGGGAACAAATTGCTTGAGTTTGATCCCAGCTCTCCCATTTAAGACTCTGACATGTTACTTAACCGCTCCATATAAAGAACAAGTTTAGTTTCCATAGAAAGAACAACTTTAGTTTCCATAAAGACCAAGCTTAGTTTCCACAAGTTTAGTTTCCATATGAAGGCAGTGGCTGCCTTATAGGATTGAGTTAATAAATGCAAAGCACAGAAAACACCTGACATATAATAAGACCTAATAAATATTGATATCATTGTCATTAGCAATAGTAGTAGAAGTAGTAATATTAGTAGTCATAGTGAAAGTAACAGTGGATGAGGTAGTTATAATTACCCAAAGGAAAATGAAGATAAAGGGTTCTGGCGATTACTCATAGGGGAGATTATTTCCAGTTGAAGGATCAGGGAAGATTTTGAGGGAGGTGGCATTTGGTTAGGGCTTTGAACATGTTATTGTTCAGTTCTCCTAATAACACTGGCCTGATTAAGAGAAATGAGAATAGGAGACACGCAGGGAATACAATAACTTGACCAAAGGAGAGACACAGGAAATACTAAGAATGAGTGAAAAACAAAGAAAGTCAGCAGAGAGCAGTTGCCTATTGATATTCTGGCATGGTGGGTGAAGCCGTCAATGCTGCTTCTGTTTTCCCTCTTCCATAGACTGCTAATGTGATAAAGAAAGAGAAATAATGGTTTCCAGCATTCACTGAAAGTGGCTCATTTTCTCCTGAATCAATCTTTGGTAACACAATCAACTCTGTGCTGCAAGGCCTGCTCCAGAGGCCGGTTTGCTATATTTTAGGATTGGCCAACACTCATGGGAATCAGAGGTGAGAGGAGAAAGTGGATTTTAGGTCCACATTCAAGACCTTGACTGAGAGTTTGGAGGATTTTGTCATTGAAGAAAAGGTAATTGGAGTAACAGCTTCCAGCATCTTTGCTCTTTGTTTTTATACCCCTTTCCACATATATCCCATCTCTCAGAAACTCTTCTACTCCCCAAATTTGCTTTTTAATGATGTACTTAGTAGGCATTTTTATGAAGATTTTTAGTCCCCCAGGAGCAATTTTATGCTAAATTTATTTTCTAATATTAAGTGTCTTATATTAAAGGAAATTCAGTTGAAAATAGCAGAATAGAGAAATGTGAGTGAGGAAGGTATTTCCAGGGAATTTTAGTAATTCCTAGTAAACCACCATGCCATATATTAATATTTAGATACCTTATTTGCACCACCTTGGGCCAAAATTGCACTTTCTACAAGTTTTAGTGATATAATATTTAAGTTTCCTTTGTAGATTATAGAGTTTTGTTGAATTAAGAATTAATTTCAATTTTTAAATATTTGTATAGGTATTAAAATTCATTATTTCTTCCTGTAAAAAAGTCATCTGTGTGTGCTTGTGTCTTTATAAAGCTGGAAAAAACACAAGGGAGTAAAATTTAAAAATGAAATTCATCTATAAACTCACCACTAAGTGACATTAACGGTTTGGAGCATGTCCTCCTTTTTCCTTCTTTCTTTATTTTCTTCTTTACAAAAATTGTATCACTTGGTGTGTCAGCCTGAATACTGTCTTCCCATAGATATCCATGTATGAGGGGACTTCAAAAAGTTCATGGAGAAAAATGAAATTAGAAGAGAAAAAACATTCTTATAAACAGGCTTTTTCTTTTTAACAAAAGAAAAAGATGAAAATTTTTAAAAAATTGAGCTTTTTTTCTTAACATAAACTTCATGAAGTTCAAGACACTTTTGTAAATTATGATACCGGCCATTTGATCTATTCTTTTTTTTTTTTTTTTTTTTTTTTTTGAGACGGAGTCTCGCTCTGTCGCCCAGGCTGGAGTGCAGTGGCGGGATCTCGGCTCACTGCAAGCTCCGCCTCCCGGGTTCACGCCATTCTCCTGCCTCAGCCTCCCAAGTAGCTGGGACTACAGGCGCCCGCCACTACGCCCGGCTAATTTTTTGTATTTTTAGTAGAGACGGGGTTTCACCGTTTTAGCCGGGATGGTCTCGATCTCCTGACCTCGTGATCCGCCCGCCTCGGCCTCCCAAAGTGCTGGGATTACAGGCGTGAGCCACCACGCCCGGCCTTGATCTATTCTTAAAGAACTGGCAGTCCTGGGAATTTAAGCATGTGACTGCAGTCTTTTTTACAGTATTTACATTATTAACTGAAGAAGAATGGGTGCCCTTTCAGGATTTTTTTCTTTTGACACAGGGTTTCACTCTGCCACTCAGGCTAGAGGGCAGTGGCATGATCACTGCTCACTGCAGCCTCAACCTCCTGGGCTCAAGCAATTCTCCTGCCTCAGCCTCCTGAGTAGCTGGAACTACAGGTGTGCACCACCACACCCAACTAATTTAATTTTTTTTGTAGAGACAAGGTCTCACTTTGTTGCCCAGGCTTATCTCAAACTCTTGGATTCAAGTGATCCTCCTGCCTTGGCCTCCCAAAGTGCTGGGATTATAGGCATGAGCCTCCACACTTGGCCCCTTTAAGGATTTTTTAGGATTAGAAAAAAAAAAACAATTCAGAAGAAGGCAAATCAGAACTGTAAGGTGGATGCCTAATGATTTGTCATCAAACTCTCATAAAAAATTGGCCTTGTTTGATGAGAGGAGGAGCATTGTCATGATGGAGAAGGACTATTAAGTGAAGCATTTCCAGTCATTTTTCTGCTAAAGCTTTGGCTAACTTCCTCCAAACACTCTCATAATAAGGAGATGTTATCAATCTTCACACCTCCAGAAAGTCAACAGGCAAAATACATTGAGCATCTAAGAAAACTGGTATCGTGACCTTTGTTCTTGACCAGTCCACTTTTGCTTTGACTGGATCACTTCATCTCTTGGTAGCCATTGCTGTGATTGTGCTTTGTCTTCAGGATTGAAGTGCCTTATTTCCTGTTACAGTTCTTCAAAGAAATTCTTCAGGATCTTGATCCCGTTGTTTAAACTTTCCATTGAAAGCTCTATTTTTGTCTGCAGCTGATCTGGGTGCAATAATTTTAGCACCCATTGAGTGGAAATTTTGCTCAGCTTTAATTTTTTAGTCAGAACTCTGTAAGCTGAACCAGTTGAGATATCTATGGTATTGGCTATTATTTCTTCTGTTAATCATCAGTCCTCTTTGATTAGGGCATCAACAAGATGAATTTTTTCCTTGCAAATTGATGTGGATGATCTGCCACTGCAAGCTTCATCTTCAATATTGTCTCATCCCTTCTTAAAATGAATTATCCATTTGTGAACTACTGATTTCTTTGGAACATTTTCTCCATATGTTTTTCAAAAATTATCAATGGTTTCACCATTCTTCCACCAAAGTTTCACCATAAATCTGATTTTGCTCTTACTTAAATTTTAGCAAAAGTATTACTCCGAACAGGGCTCTTTTCAAACTGATGTCTTATTCTTCTTAGTACCTCAACTAGATCATGTTTAAACATGTTATAACAAGTTGGTATGAGTTTACTTTAGTGTAAAAAATGCAATCCAGCATAATTGTTTCATAACTTAATGAACTTTTGAAGATGCCTTGTACAATCCCTAGAACCTGAGAATATCTTATATGGCAAAAGATTCTTGCAGATCTGATAGATATGAGAAGATTATTTTGGATTATTGGGGTGGCTCCAATGTAATCACAAGGCATGAGAGGGAGTAAGGGGAGATTAAAAAAAGAGAAGAAGGTTATGTGATGATAGAAGCAGAGATTGGAGTGATGCAGCCATGAACCAAGGAGTGCCAACAGCTTCTTGATACTGGAAGAAACAAGAAATGAATTCTCCCCTGGAGCCTCCAGGAGGCACCAGGCATCCTGGATTTTTATTTAAGACTTATTTTGTATTTCTGAACTTCAGAACTGTATGAAAATAATTTTTTTAACCACGAAGTTTGTGGTAATTTGTTACAGTGGCAATAGAAAACCAATATGCTTGAAAACAGTCAAGATGCAAGTAAAAGAAAATCTGACTCAACCTGACTTAAAGTAATGTGGAGCTGTTAATTCACTAAATTGGAAAGTCTAGAGGTCGAGCAGCCTTGAAGTGTGGTATAATCTACAGGTTTATCATGTTATCAGAGCTGCAGTTGCATTTCCCTGGGATTCTCTCTGTTTTGCCCTCTTCTCTGAGTTGTTTCCTTTGTCCTTAAACTGGTTTCCCACAGGCCAGCCTTCTCAGCAATCCTTCCAAGATTCAGTCTGATGAGACAGACTTAGGCCACTTATCTGAACCAATCAGCATGAGAGCCTGTCACTGTGAGGCAAAGAAACTATGTGAATCACTTCGTTTTTGTTACGTTGTCCACAGGATTCAGGAGTGGAAAGAGCTTCCCTACAACTACATGGATCCACAAATGGAAATCAGGCACTGATGGAAAAGCAGAATGGATTCTGGAGACAAACACAAATGTCTGCAGAATACTCCTTAAGCTACCCAATAGCCATACATATTCTCCTTTAAACACATGTCTTAAAAATGTATAACCTTTTACATGGAATATACACACCCCACCACAAAAAAACACAAACCCAAAATTGATCCAGTTACTGAATTCAAATTTTAAGAGCTCTGATGGGACCCAAAGCCACATATATTACATATCACATTTGTGGAGAATATGATCTATATTTACATGGCTTTTGTATTTGACTGATTGCATTATTCCAGGAGTGTCTTGCCTGGAAGATGAAGTGGTAAATAACTTTCCTTAACTTGACCTTATCAGGGTATCTCAATAGATCACACAATTGTGATTGTTAGATTGTTCACTACTCAAGGCTTGCTTCAAAACTTTCCCCTTGCTGGGTCCACCAAACCTAAATTATCAGGCATTCACACTAAAATATAACCAGATGCATTAAACCAGAATCAAAACTTCAATTAATATTTTGCCTTTAACCTTGTTATTCTAAAACACTAATAATAAAACTTCAAGGTCCTACTTTATTTATGGCAGTAGAAAATAAATTTGGATCTCTTAAGGGAGGAGCAGTTGACCTTTAGTAAGTTTCATTCCTTTTCATTGGGTCCAAATATAGTTTCTCACGATTCATTAATTTATGGCTAAATGGACAATTATCTATATAAAACACATCTGTATTAGTTCATTTTTGCATTGCTATAAAGAACTACCTGATACTGGGTAATTTATAAAGAAAAGAGGTTTAATTGACTCACATTTCCACAAGCTGTATAGGAGGAATGGCTGGGGAGACCTCAGAAAACTTACAATCATGGTGGAAAGTGAAGAGGAGGAGGCACTTGTTTACATGGCCAGAGCAGGAAGAAGAGAAAGCTAAGGGGGAGGTGCTACACATTTTTAAACAACCAGATATGGTGAGAACTTACTCTCATGAGAACAGCAAGGGGGAAACCCACACCCATTATCCAATCACCTCCCACCAGGCCCCTTCTCCAACACTAGGGATTACAATTCGAGATGAGATTTGGGCAGGGACAAAAACCCAAACTATATCATTCCACCCTAGCCCCTCACAAATCTCATGCCCTTCTCACATTGCAAAATAAAATCCTCCCTTCACAACAGCCCCCCAAGTCTTAACTCATTTCAGCATTAACTCAAAAGTCCAGAGTCCAAAGTTTCATCTGAGACAAGGCAAGTCTTTTCTGTCTATGAGCCTGTAAAATCGAAGCAAGTTAGTTACTTCCAAGATACAATGGAGATACAGGCATTGGGTAAATACACTCATTCTAAGAGGGAAAAATTTGCCAAAACAAAGGAACTGCAGGCCCCATGCAAGTCTGAAACCTAGCAGTGTATTCATTAAATCTTAAAGCTCCAAAATAATCTCCTTTGACTCCATGTCTCACATCCAGACAACACTGTTGCAAGATCTTGGGCAGCTCCACCCCTGTAGCTTTGTGGGGTACAGCTCCTGTGGCTGCTTTCATAGGCTGTCACTGAGTGCCTGCAGCTTTTCCAGGTGCACAATGCAAACTGTCGATGGATCTACTATTCTTGGGTCTGGAGGATGGTGGCCCTCTTCTCACAGATCCACTAGGAAATGCTCCAATGGGGACTCTGTGTGGGGACTCCAACCCCACATTTCCTCTCTGCACTGCCGCAGTAGAGGTTCTCCATGAGGGCTCTGAACCTGCAGCAGACTTCTGCCTATATGTTCAGGCATTTCTATACATCCTCTGAAATCTAGGCGGAGGCTCCCAAGCCTCAACTCTCATACTTTGCAGGCTTAACACCATGTGAAAGCCACCAAGATTTATAGCTTGCACTCTCTGAAGCAACAGCCTGAGCTGTACCATTGCTCCTTTTAGCCATGACTGGAGCTGGAGTAGCCATGATGGAGGGCACCATGTCCCAAGGCTACACAGAACAGCAGGGCCCTGGGCCTGGCCACAAAACCGTTCTTTCCTCCTAGGCCTCCAGGCCTCTGATGGGAGGGGCTGCTGTTAAGGTCTCTGAAATGTTTTGAAGGCATTTTTCTCATTGTCTTGACTATTAACATTCTGCTTCTCTTTACTTACGCAAATTTCTGCAGCCAGTTTGAATTCTTCTTCAGAAAATGAGTTTTTCTTTTCTACCACATGTTCAAGGTGCAAATTTGTCAAACGTGTGTGCTCTGCTTACCTTTTTAAATATAAATTCCAGTTTCAGATCATCTCTTTGCTTACACATATGACCATATGCTGTTAGAAGCAGTGAGACCACAATTTGAATGCTTTGCTGCTTGAAATTTCTTCCACCAGATACCTTAAATCACTGCTCTCAAGTTCAAAGTTCCACAGATATCTAGAGCAGGGACACAAGAATGACTTTTACTCAAGTTCCCAATAAGTTCCTCATCTCCAACTGAGACCACATCAGCCTGGACTTCGTTTTCCATACTACTATCAGCATTTTGGTCACAACAATTTAACAAGACTTGGAAGTTCCAAACTTTCCATCATCTTCCTGTCTTCTTCTGAGCCCTCCAAACCATTCCAAAGTCACTTCCACATTTTCAGGTATCTTTATAGCAACACCCCACTCCTGGTACCAATTTTCCATATTAGTCTATTCTTGTATTGCTATAAAGAATTACTTGAGAGTGAGTAATTTTTAAAGAAAAGAGATTTAATTGACTCACAGTTCCACAGGCTGTATAGGAAGCATGGCCGTCTCCCCAAGAGGCCTTAGGAAACTTACAATCATGGTGGAAAGCAGAGGAAGGAAGCATGTCTTTAAATAACCAGAGTAGGAAGAAGGGAGAGCAAAGCGGGAGGTGCTACACACCTTTAAACAACTAGATCTCAGGAGAACTCACTCATTATCAAAAGAACAACAAGGGGAAAATCCACCCCCATGATCCAATCACCACCCACCAGGCCCCTCCTCCAATACTGGGGAATATTACAATTTGACATGAGATTTGGGTGGGACACAAATCCAAACCATGTCAATATCTGATGATACAATTATGCAGAAAGAAAAGAATACCTGAAACAAAACTACCACTGGGAAAAGAAGAAACATCAAATAGGGATAACTGGTCCATAGCAAATGGGATGCTCTTCTGGGCAAGAGTTCCTTAGTTTGCTAATCTGGTCACCACTGATTTGCCTCTGTGGGAGGATTTTTTTTTTCTACTGCTGTCCTTCAGAGTCATCTCCAAGATGGGCATTGAGTATACCACCCCTCTCCCTATGCTGCTTGGGGTCTCATTTCCTATTGCAGTGAATTAAGAAATATAGACATTGCATCCAAGGCCTAAGAAACCACAAGCTTGGAGTTTATTTGGCAATACAGCTCCATGAAAAGTTTAGAGGCTTCCAGGCGATTTGTTTTCTATTAGTTTCATAATCAGCAGCCAAAGTCAGCTATCTTGATGGGTTGTAATCTTGAAGTTAAGTTCTGGCCATCAGAGTGTCTTTCGTGGTTTCTTACTGCTTTGCTTGTTCCTTTAGTGCTATGGTTCTCAAAGTGTGGATCCTGCACCAGCAGCAGAATCTTGGGAATTTGTTACAAATGCATTCTGGGGTCTTGTCCCAGACCTACTTTGAAACTCTTGGGGTGATGCACAGCCGTTTGTGTTGTACTAAGCTCTCAAGGTGATTCTGGTACTTGATAAAGTTTGGGATCATGGCTTTAGTTATTGCCACTTTGCAACAATCCAAAACAATAAGCTGGGGTAAGAAATTTCCATTAAAATCCTCTCTTTTTGTGGGCTGTATGTGAGCAGCTTACTCTTGAGAGAAATGATTAGCCTTTTTCTTTCTTATAAATAGGAGATAATTACAGAGGCCTGTATTAAGGTAAGAGAGTAGCAGCATGCTCCTAACTAATAGTCATATCTTAAGTTGTCATCCCTTTCCTCTATTAGGATTCTTGTTTGCGGTTAATAACTACCTTTCCAGTATTTCAAGATTCCTGACTCTTAAGTCAACTGAATAGAAGTCAAACTTAGAGTTTCTCTAAGCAATGTCTTATTTTCTTCCCTCATGTTTTTAGATGCTAGTATAAACTCTGTTTTCTCTCTCTCAAGCAGGAATTTATTGAATATAAATTCAATAAAGTCAACACACTCTAACATTCTATTTTTTTTCTCCTAAGTCCTTTAAATGCTAACATTTCAATGTACATGATCTAGTTCTCAAGGGTAGAAAAAACAAAAATTATTATTTTTGCTACCATGTAACAATAACTACAATCTTCCAACCACTGAAGAGAATGGTTTCACTGGCCTCCACCAATCTTTTTAGCTCAGCCAAGACCTCATTTTAGAGTTTCAGAATGTTAGACTCATTCTGGGTCCCAATTTCTGTTTCAAAAATATTAATTCCAAACAATAGAAACCAAATGTGGTTATCTTATAGGGAAAAAGGAAGTGTGGAAAAGAAGGAAAGTTATTTCCTTTGAGTTTATTGGAACTAAATGGGGCCCTATATACTCACCTGAAGGCTTGAAGTCTGGGGAATAAGACAGGGAAAATGCGCAGGATCGAAGGGAGATGACGATGAATTGGTGGAAAGAGTAGCCAAGGTTATGCTGCAGGATGGGTCATGTCAGTTTGCCACCACTACTGAGTGCTGCTGGCACTGCTTCGTGGCTGCTGAGATGATCCGACAGCAACTTATCCCATGTTTTTGGCCAGACATTTACAGTCTAAGTGCCAGGGTAAGCTTCTAGTCAGATCAGCTTAGAACATGTGCCCCTTTCTGACTAATACAAGAAGGTGTAGGAGGATCTGGGTCCTCTTATGTTCCATATGATTCCGGAGATCATACAGTAGTATGAATAATATCAAGGAGAATGAATGTTGGGAAGTAAAAATTATTGACACATATACTCTATATCCCACCTTTCTATCTAGCAATGTATCAATAGTATATCTTGTCAAATATATTTTTTTACAATTAAAAATTTTTCAAAATCAGGATTACTTTTTCATAATTCTATTGTGATACCTTGACATGGAGGCACAATATAGTGATCATTGATTTGTACAAAATATTTGCACTTAGAAAGCTCGAATGATCACAAATCTTTTCTGTATTTTATTCATAGGGAAGAAAATCTGTAAACTATCTTATATCAAAAATTATTGGTTTTGAATGCCATGTTTGGGTAAATTTTTTTCAATATCAAGAATTTCTACTTTTACATTTCATTTATATTTAAGATTATTATTTGAGATGTGGTAACATCTTGAATGAAAAAGTGACCAATGAAACGACAAAAGAGAGAAAGGGAAAGAGAGAGAGATGGGCAGTGGAAAGGAAAAAGGAAGGAAGAAAAATGCTAACATTTACTGAGTATGGTGCAACTTTCTTTTACATAAATTATCTCATTTAATCTTCCGAGTAACTCTCAACCATTTAAATCTGCAGAACACATTTTTCAAATGAAATTTTGCATCATAACAAAGCAGATAACTGCTGAATGAGTAGCTCTGGATAAATAGTTGAGGGAGTAGATAGTCTCTTCATCACCCTTTAGATGACACTCAGCATTATTAAAAAATATATTAACCAATTTATGTTAAAAAAAGATTAAACTTCAATAAGTGTAGTTTTGGCAGTTGAGTCAATTATCTTGTATTCTTACTCTTCACAGATTGGTTAACATGTACATCAGGTTTATGTCCATAGTTAACTTTTTCATGTTACATAAGTTTTAAATTTCATGTTTTAAGTGTGGAATAAAAGATTATTTATACCTGATAAATTTTGTGGATGCACGCACACACACGCACATACACATAGACTCAATAAACCAAAACATTATATTACCCAGAATTTTTCATGCCTATTATGTATAAGGAGAATTCTATGTGCAGTTATAATTTTAACATACAACTTCATAAAGATAAGGCAAAATTCAACTTGCCTCTTACTAAATCAAAACAACCTGCACTTAATATCACATGCTAAGCTCCTAAACATGAAACGATTTACTAGATGAGGCAGTTACTGGTTCAGTTACTATGAACCAGTCCCTCACAGATAATCTGTAGGCCATTTCGTGGTTTTAAAAAATGACAGACTAAGGTCAGATTCAGAGGGCTGAACAAAGTATATACGAGGTTGAAAGCAAAAATCTGTACATATTACAGAAATAGTTGTCAGTTAAAAGCAGTAGAAGTAGAATTATCAAAAACATAAGGTATGATTTTGTCACTTTCATTTTTAGAAAAAAAAAGGGAAATTTATAAGTGTTTGTTTTACCACTGAAATATCCCATTAGAGCCCCATCTCATGGATATCATTATTCTTTAAGAAAAAACTGTTCTCTTTGTGAATTATAGACATGAATACATTCACAGCAAAATGCTTGTCAGTTGAAATATATGCTATAGTTTTTCTCACCACTTGTACTGGTTTCTCTTTAAAACAGCAGGACATGCTCTTGAGGGGATCCTGGGGCGATTTCTTCATCTACTCCCCACATTCAAAATCTCAGTTGAGGTTTGAAATTTTTTTTACCAACTATAGATAGACTTTGATGGCACACTTAAAAATGAGTCATGGGAAAATTAACTCGACTTAAAATCATTTAAGATACTATAAATATCTAATATCAAAGCAAGTAAAAACATAACTATCTCAATATAAGTAGAAGAAGAAATCTGGACCTAGAAGCTGCCAGAGATTGGTGGTTATTACTACTGTAGGTGTATCTCAGGAGCTGACACGTGATAAACTTGCATCTGCAGGAGGCCCTCACTGGCTTTCCTGTACTTCCTTGGCTTCCATTCAATCTTATATTCAGACTAGCTAAGAGCATTTACTCAAAATGCAATTCTAGTCATATTATCTTACTCCTTAAATCTTCCATTGTGTTTGGGGTAAAATGAAAAATCCTTAGCATGACTTCCATGCTCCTTTATAACAGATATTTCCTGTGTCTCCCTTTTCTAAATCCCGGGCGTTATGCTCTCTCACCCCTCTGCCTGGAATGTGCTTCTTCCCATGTTTTGTCAGTCTGCTCCTACTCTGATATTGGCAGAAGCACCTCTTCCTCAGGAAAGCTTTTCTTGGCCCCTCAGACCTATGGGGACGAGATAGGAAAATAAACAAGGGAATACTTCTTCAGAAGGCATTGATCATTATAGAGAAATGTGAAGAGTAATAGTGGGGGTGTTATTTTGCATAAGATGAAGAAGGAAGGCCTTGCTGATAAAAGTGCCATTTGAGCAGAGACCTGAAAGGATTGGAGACAAAATGTGCAGCTCTCTGGAGAAAGAGAGTCCAGGCAGAGGCAGCAGTTGGTGCAAGGGCCCTGAGGTAAGATGGACTTGATGTTTGAGGAAGAGCAAGAAGGCCAATATGGCAGGCACCAAGTGAAGGAAGAGAGCATGGGAAGCACTAGAAGGAAAACTCAGAGAACATGTAGACACCATGGTAAGAAGTTCAGATTTTGATCTTAAATAAGAGGAAGGGCCGGAGTGAAGCAAATGAAAGGGTAAATATGGGGAGATGAGGCTGGAGTGGGGATGGGTTAGTACAGTGCAACTAGGAAACCAAGATAAGGCCTTTGGTTCTCCCTCTGAGTTAAGATGTAATGGCACTGGTTGGCTAAATCAGAAGAGAAACAACCAATCTGTTGGTTGGCTTAAGCAGAAGAGAAACATAATTCACATATATTTTGAATGATCACTCTAGCTGCTATGTTAGAAACAGAATCGATGGGGAAAGAGTAGGGGCAGGGAGCCTATTTAGGTAGCTATTACAATAGTCCTGCAAAGTATGACTGTGACTGCCCAGGGGTGGTAGAAGGCCTGATGAATGCCTGGAGTCTGAATTTACTTTGAAGATAGAGCCAACATAATTTGTTAATATGAGGTGGGAGAAGTGTCAAGAATTATTCCAATTCTTTGGTCTGAGCAACTATACATAATATGGAATAGAGTGGTCCTATACTACAAAGAAGAAAACTGAGAGAAGCTCTTGGAAGGGTGGGATGTAGAAAGGGGCTGCTGCTGCTGATGGTGATGAAATAAAGAATTCCCCTTAGAACATGCTGAGTTCAAGATAACTACTGGGGAACCAAACAGAGAGATCTAATTGAGAGTCAGATACAAAAATCCAGAGTTTAGCAGAGAGGTTCCAGGCTAGAGGTATACATTTTTGAGTCATCTGAAAATAGATGGTATTTAAAGACTAAAACTAAATGACATTATTTTGGGAGCAAGTATAGACTAAAGAAAGGTCAGAAGACATCTAGGCACTCCAAACTTTAAAGGTTGGCAAGATAAGGAGGAGCCAACAAAAATTAGACTTGTTTATGAGATAGATGTTCACCCCAGAAATTGGTGTTCAGAGACTAGGTGAAGAAGAATGGATTTGAACAAATAGGGAGAGGTCAGTTGTTTCAAATGTTCTGATGGATTGAATAAGATGATATTTAAGATTGAACTTTGGATTTGGCAACAATGGCTTTGATAAGAGGAGTTTTGAAGATAAAACCTTGATTGGAGTGAGTTTTAAAGAGAATGAGAACAAAACTATAGAGATGGTAAAAGGTCTGTGGTTGCTGGGGTTTGGAGGAGAGAAGGAGGAAGGGACAAATGGTAGAGCACTGGAGATTTTTAGGGCAGTGAAACTATTCAGTATGATGCTGTAATGGTGGATACATGACATTTCCTATTTGTCAAAACTCATAGAACTGTACAACACAGTGAACCCTTATGTAAATTTTTGACATTAACAATAATATCAATATCAATTCATCAATTGGAACAAATACACCACACTAATGAAAGATGTTAATAATAGGGGAAAGTGGGGGCAAGAGGCAAATAGAGAGTATGTGTACAGGAGCTTTCTGTACTTTCTGCTCAATTTTTCTGTAAACCTAAAAGTACTCTAAAACTAAATCCTATTAATTAAAAATGAGGAGAAGGAATAAGAGGAGAGGATGTTTAGACAATTGAGTGCACAGGTTACTAAGTTGTTGTCTCTCAGCTTCTAACCCACCCAGGCTGGAGCTGGAATTATGATGACCACATTAATCCTTGGCTTGCTGGCCCCTTGTCAGAATCTGTTGACAGAGGACCCATAGGAAGACTGGAAAGCTGAAAAAGGGGGAAGGGACTTTCTCACGTGTTTGCTCTCTGATCCTGCTCAGCTTCGTCACAGCAAAGGCTCTTCATGTTGGCAGCTGGTAGATCAATTCTGATAGCAGCATTTGATTCTTATTTAGTTTTTTCCCACACTCCCAGAACCAGACTCATTGACCAATCAGAGATATCTGCACCACCCAATCAATGTCCCATCTGTCTGACTCCCAGCTGTGCAATCTTGTCTCCCCAGCATCCCCTGGTCCCTTACTTACTAAGGTCCCGGGAACCACAGTAGGATTTCTAGCAAGCACTAAGGACTTTCTTATCAGTTGTCACACATATATCATGAGTATGTATACTTATTTAGCTTCTGTCTTCCCAAGTCAATTGTAATTTCTGTAAGAAAGGGGTCATGTCTCTCCAATTCACTGTTGTAGTCCCAGGATTAGCACAGTCCCAGGACCTGTGTAGGGCTCAGTTTACATAAATTAAGAAATAAATTATTTGAAAGGAATGGGGGAACGTATTCATTTTCTAGGGCTGCCTTAACGAATTTCCAGAAACTAGATGTCTTAAAACCACAGAAATTCATAGTCTCACATCTCTGGAGGCTAGAAGTCCAAAATCAAGGTCTTTATAGGGCTGTGCTCTCTCTAAAGCCTCTGAAGGAGATCCCTCTTCACTTTTTCCAGCTTCTGGTAGCCCAAGGTGTTCCTTGGCTTGTCGCACCACAACTCCAATCTCAGCCTCCATCTTACCATGTGGTGGTCTCTCCTCTCTGTCTGTGTGTCTTTGTGTCTTCATAGGGTGGTTCTCCTCCTAGTGTCTGTTATCTCCTCTTTTAAGGGCACCAGACACATTGGATTAGGGCCCACTCTAATTGGGGATGATCTCACCTTAACTTGATTACATCTACAAAGACCCTGTTTCTGAATAAGGTTTCATTCGTCAGTACTGGGAGTTAGGAAGTCAGTGTATCATTTTAGAAGACAGAATCTAAGCCATAGCAGGGAGTATAGAGAAGATGAAGATGGGTAGGGAAGAGAAAGGTAAAGAAAAGAATATCTGAGTTAAGGTAGTTTTATTTAAGACCTACTTGCCTTAAAATTATGTCTGACTACATCTATTTATCTATGTATCCACCCATATTTTAGTTCGTAGTATCTTGATATGGTATATTTTTTGGAGGGACAGAGACTACTTTAATTCCTGATACTCAATGAAGATTTAGTATGATTATACACACATGATTATAAATAGAGGTGTATAAAGTGCATGGCATTATATGGTTACCTATAGTAAACCTTTAAAATACACAGTGTATAGACAAACATTGCACAATGTATGAACTCTCAGCTCCTTTAAAATCTTCAGCAATCTCATGATTAGACTGATAGCAAAATTTGTGGTTGATATTGTTGTCCACCTGATCTTTCCTAGATACGCTGTTTTTCATTTCTGGTGTAATTAAGTGGATATTTGTTCATGAGTCACATTCTGTTCTATGTGTAGACACACACACACACATACACACACAAGAATGAGGTGATGGGAAAAGATTATCTGAAATTGAGGCTAATGACATTGTCAAAATAAAACTTGGCCATAGACTGCCAGGTTAATTTCAGGTAAACATGTTATGAAAAACAAATCCAATTAAAAGAAAGGTGTAAAGATATTAACTTTTCTTTTTAAGATTTTTGTTTTCCAATAACATGTTTAGCTTACTTGCAAAAGAGTCACTTAGCTTACTTAGATTCACCATTAATTATAAGCAGTGCTACTTAGTGGTTCAGGAGGATAATTTATCTGACATTACCAAACATGCCTGATGTGAGTTGTAAGACTTATAGTGCTTCAAGGGTTTAAAGAAAGTGCTTAATGCCAAAGCTCACACACACTTCAGGTTCTGTATGAGCAAGTGACACAGACTGAAAACAATTACTAAGAAGACTTTATTACATTATATTCTGTGAGTTTTGCTTCCCCAAAGGGTCTAATACTGCTATAGAAGGAAAAGTCTATATTGAAATATTTTAAATTCTGAATTTGGAGTGAGGGAAAATTTGCATAAATTATAAAAATAATTTTTAAATAATTATTTAAAAACTTTAAAAATAACTTTATATTGACAAGAGATTGACCTTTTAAATATTTACACAATAATCATGTCATAGTATTTATAGTTTATAATTTTACAAAAACATTAATGATTAAAGCTTTGCATTTTTCTTCCTAGGAATTGTTGATTTTTACTTTGTAATAATTATTCAACTCTAATTCTTTATTTTATTTAGTATTTTACTTTCTTAAAGCCCTAAAGTGTTCTATTTTCCCTAAATTTAATATATCTTTTAGTTCTCAACGTATGTGTAGCCTTTTAATAAACTGCCGGAAAATGACTTTGGCTTTCCTTTACATGAACATAGAAAAATTTTGGGGTCTCTTATGACATTTCTCATCTTTTTTTATGTTATGAATTACTTGTTGATGATAAATATTCTGCATAATTTTATAAACCACATGAAATGAAGAGAAAGTAATTAAAGCTTTTGAGCTCTACAGAAGTATTAATTTATGTCCACTCCCCAAGAATATTTACTTTTTACAATCTGTATAGTGTGAGAGAGAAACCTAAAATATATGAAAAAGCATTTATTACCATTCGTTCATGTACTTCCTTAATTTATTCATTCATTCCAGTACTTTACAAAATATTAGAATACTAATCTTGTGTTCAAGTAACTGACTTTCTCCTAGGACAGAGATAAGTTAATAACAAAAATGAGAACTGGCCAGGTGTGGTGCTTATGTCTGTAATCCCAGCACTTTGGGAGGCTGAGGTGGGTGGATGACCTGAGTTCAGGAGTTTGAGACCATCCTGGCCAGCCTGGCCAAAATGGTGAAACCCCGTCTTTACAAAAATACAAAAAATTAGCCAGGTGTGGTGGCGGGCATCTGTAATCTCAGCTACTCTGGAGACTGAGGCAGGAAAATCGCTTGAACCCGGGAGGCAGAGGTTGCAGTGGGCAAAGATCACGCCACTGCACTCCAGCCTGGGCAACAAGAGTGAAACTCCGTCTCCCAAAAAAAAAAAAAAAAAAAAAAAGAGAACTGCAATGAAGTTTTTCAAATCCTTGTTCCTTGTATTTATTCCAATTTCACTTAAACAAAAGCACCTCCAGAACACTGTTTAGGGATCTTAGTCTACTATCTTCCTTATTCTATTATTTCAGTTTTGTGCCTCTGTTTTTTTCATAATTCTGCCATCATTTTATTTTATTCTTCATATATATGAACTGTATATAGAATATTTATATCTCATTATTAGGAAAGTTTATTTGGGTAAGAGTCCTGTTAAATATCTCTGGTTTTTAGTTAAGTCTTTTGAAACATTATGCCTTGGAAGTAAAGTCAAATCAAAATAGACCAGGCTTTACAGAGAATTAAACACAGCTTCAAATAATCATACTTCTTCTAAATGCCTGCCAGAAAAACAATATATCCTTTTTGGATGAAAAGAATACTATCTTCAAAACTTTGTTTTTTGTTTTTGTTTTTATTTTTTAATACACAATGTCTCTCATTTAATCAAAAATTATTGAATGTGTCAGAAAACAAGACCAAGTCACTGAAAGCAAGAGAAAGAATTCACCAGAAATATATCAAATATATCAAATTTATATATTGGAGTTATCAAGCACAGATTTTAAATAACTGTTATTAATACATTTGAGAAAATAGCAAGATAGAGAATTTCACTAAAAAACTAGAATCTATAGAAAAAATCACACATAAATTCTAGAAAAGAAAATCAAAATAACTAAAATTAATAACTCAATAGTTGGGTCTTCAGCAGATTGGACAGAGTAGGAGAAAAGATTAGAGAATTGGAAGATAGACTACTAAAAACTATATGACAGAAAGCTCAGAGTGAAAAAAGTATGGAAAATACAGAATGCCGTGTGAGAGACTTATATGTCAAGGTAAAAAGGCTCTGTGTCAACATGTGTAAGAGTCACCCAAAATCAGTATTTCTGAACCATTCTGAGGATAAAATTTTACATGATACCACAAAAGAATTACTGTACTAGCCAGTGGGTATAATCTGCTCACCAGGCCACCATCTTAGAATCAGGTCACCCTCGTGGGCTCCAGAAGCTGGCTCCAGGTCCCAGGATAACCCTACAGGTGTGATTGTTGGAACTCTGCAGGCATCTGGTTTACCACAATGAATGGGCTAGAGAGTCAGTGAGTACACCCAAGGGGAGCAATGGGAATCTGACCCACTCAAGTTCTACTATGGGCTCCTGCCTGGATAACACTGCAGACTCTGGCTGATTCCAGCCACCAGGGTGCGACTGTAAAAATTTTAAAAAGGCACTCTGAAGTGGCAGAATTGCAGGGCAGAGAAAGGAAAATAGGTGTGGGCTACTAGGATCTCTTTCTACCCACAGAACACTTCTTCTCATACCAAAAGTATGGGGGTTTTCCTCAAACCAACAACCAATTCTCCAACTGTAGGACACCATTGAGTGTCCTACAATTTAATTCAATTGTGATGCTAACTACCTGGAATTAGGATCAGCTCCCACAATTTAAGGGCTCAGTCACACCACGGACTCCACTGTTTAGGGTTTTTATGCAATGTCCGTTATGTAGGCATGACTGAGTAGATCATTGATCATTGATAATTAACTCAATTTCCAGCCCCTCTTATCTCCCCAAAGGCTGGGGGATGGGGCTGAAAGTTTCAACCTTCTAATCAATGGTTGATTCCTGTAGCAACAAGCTCTCATGCTGAAGCTATCTGGAAGTCCATCAAAAGTCATCTTATTAGTAGAAACTCAGGTATGGTTGAAAGAGGCTTATTATGAATAACAAAAGATGGTCCTCTGACCCCTATCTCTCAGGAACTTCCAAGGGTTTTAGAAGCTCTGTGTCCAGAATTGGGCATAAAGACCAAATATTATAACAAAATACAAGGGTTTTAGAAGCTTTGTGCCAGGAACTATGGATGAAGCCCAACTATATGTTTCTTATTATATCACAATATCAAGAGGTCCAGGTCAGTGGGCCCACTTATTTGGGTGGAAGGGAGGTAGTGAAAGTTTTAATGATCACTTAGGGGACGGTGACCTAGCCCAAGCCAACGAGAATGATTCCTTGAGTTTTGCTTGAATTATTGGGGAAGAAATTTCTTCCCACTAAAAATTTTAAATTCGTTAAATATAAGCTTATAGATGTTATTGCCCATCTTCGTTACCACTGAGATGAATATAATTGAGAAAGAAGCCAGCAAAGTGCAAAACAAAACCAAGAAGTAGAGAGGAAAAATTAGTATTCCTGAAGACAATGATTAAACTACTGGGTCAAACCATACTGCCCCTAGTTTATTCCAGAAATTTACAGGTATATGAGCCAGTGTGTTTCCTTATTCACTTAAACCAGGTAGATTTGGACTTTCCTTACTTGAAACAGAGAGCTTTCACTCAGAGGCACAAGGTTTTTATCTTTGTCATTTCCTCTTGGGTGAGGATATTGTGGGCTGTTTTCAGTAGGACTGCTCCTCCCTGCCCAAGTCATGGAGCAGAGCAGAGTCTAAAATGTGACAGACTCTCAGGGAATGATAGTGACTTTTACGCCCATCTAAATTTGTTGACAGGATATATTTGTGGGGCCACAAGAACTATGAAACATGAATGTGGAACTCAAGCAAAATATCCAGATTAAGATGTAAGTTTTGGAAGCATTGTCATCATAGGAAGTTAAGTTTAGGCATTGTATGAGATATACAGTAAGAAGAAATGCTTGGGCTTGGACATAGACTATAGGAAGCTAATACTTAACAGGGAGCTAGAAGAAAAGAGTTAATGAAAATGAAAGAGACTGATCTGAGAAGTAAGAGAAAACCCAGGAGTGAACAATGAAGGAAAAAAAAAGAAGAATGGTTTGTGTGATCAAAAGTAGAGGAGAAATGACATGAGGCTCTTGGATTTAGCATTTAAATATTGAATTTGGCAACTTGAGTTAACTAAAGACCTTTAAGAGAGGAGTTTTGTTAGAGGAAAAAGATGAAAAAAGATTTTAGAGGTTGAGGGGCACACGAGTGTATCAATTAAGTTTGGCTCAAATAAAAACAATAATTTGTGTATACATAAAATCTTAAAATATATTTCTTTTACTGAGGAATTTTTAATATTAACAATGATTGCATTTTTCTCTAATATCAACTTGAGATTCATTTCTGTGAATTTTATTTGACTGCACGACCTTAAAAATAATTAGTAAATAATTCCTATTTATCTAAGGAATTCCTAAGCTTATCAGAAGTCATAAAATCAGAAAACAACTGAACTTCCATACACTTCTTACACATATTCTTGCATAGATAAACATGTATATAAAAGATCAACTAATTAAAATCAATGTGGTATATGCACTGAACTATATTTTCTTAAAATGTTGTATATTTTTTGAAATTAAAGTTTAAAGCTTTAAATAACACAGTAGTCCCCCCTTAGGCACAGTTTTGTTTTCCACAGTTTCAGTTACCCAAGTTAACTGTGGTCTGAAAATATTAAATGGAAAATTCTAGAAGTAAACAATGCATACATCTTAAATTGTGCATCATTCTAAGCAGCATGATGAAATCTTGCAATGGCCCATGCTGTCCCTCCTGAGGCTTAACTTCCCTTTGTCTGGCATTGTCCATTATCACTTAGTAGCTATCTTGGTTATCAGATCAATTGTTGCAGTATTGTATCCCTGTGCTCAAGTAACTCTTACTTTACTTAATAATGGCCCTAAAGCACAAGAGTACTGTGCCTAATTTATAAATTAAACTTTATCATAAGTATGTATGTATAGGAAGAGACATAGTATATATAGGGTTTGGTACTATGTACAGTTTCAGGCATCCATAGAGGGTCTTGTAAAATAGCTCCTGTAAATTGGGGTGGGGTCTACTGTGTTATCTAATCTTACATAGTTTATGACTTATATGAAGATTTACATGCATTCAATGGTATATTAATACATAAAAGCAGCTAAAGTACAAGTAAAAATAGACTATTGGTAACTTAAAAGAAAACCCAGCCAAATAATAATGAAGCAAAACAAAAAGGTAGATGCTCATTTCACTCTTTTATGAAAGGTATCAGGAGAGCTGGTATGGAACTCCGTGGTTATCCGGTTCTCAGTCTCTTTTATCTTCCTACTCCACTGTGTTTCGCCATGGCTATCATTGTGAAGGTTTTTTCATTGTCCAAGATGGTTGCTGGAGCTCTGGCCACTGCGCCTGTATTCCAGACAGGAGGAAGGAGAAAGAACTAATGGCAAGAAGGTACATGTCAATATTGTAAACTTAGTTTATGACACTTTTTTAAAAAAGTCCACCTAACCTCTGCTTAGAACCCATTGAAGATCAACAGTGGTCAGAAAGACTGGGAAATAAAATATTTCAGGTGGGCATTGATCAGGGAGCAGTTAGGTACAAAGAACAGGAGTGTGGATACAAGATAGGCAGCTAGAACTCTCTATCTCAATGAGGACTGGTATAGGATGAATGAAAATGCACTATATTTTCTAAGAAGTTTGGCAGAGATTATGAGGAAGTATGTTGAATAGAACTGGAGAGAATGGAAATTTTTAGAATAAGAGAGACTTGATGTTTTTGTGGGTTGAAGTGAAGAATGTATAAGACAGAGTGCAAATAATTGATGGAGCAAGGCCCTGGGAGAGGTGAGAGACAGGCACGAAGAGCACAGGAATCTTTACTGGTTCCTTGAGGTTCCATTCAAATCAATGTCAAGGTAGTCTGCAATACGTTGTTACCACGTGGAACCCATCTGCCTTGCATGAGATCTTAATGATAGAGTTATACTACTTTAATTTTGCTTGAAAATACTTTGCAAACATCATTTGTAAGGGTGTCATGTCCTTTATTGTAAAGAATAAGCTGTTTAACAAAAAAAGGATTGTTCTTCACAGGTTTGAGTAAAAAATCATGGCAAATAAAAGTTTTCTGGGTGAAATTTAAAAATATTTAGACGTGTACATACATAGGTAGAAAGCTGGCATAAAATAATATTTTTTGGATAAATGCTCCTTTGGATAATTAACATATCTAATACATTGTTTTCAAAATAAGCATTTGTGTTCTTTTTATTTACTCTCTGGCATACACAACCACACACACACATAAACATACACACATTTACTTTTAAAAAGGTATAAGTTGTTAAAAAGCAGGGTATATGGCAATAGCCTCTGTAGCTTAAGAGTCTTTTGATCACTTCCTGGCAAGTGTGATGTAATATCTTATTCCTCATACTCAGAATCACCAGTTCCAAATGCTGTATTCTAATAACCTATGACAGCATAAATAATTTATCGTTTTCCAACTTCCCCATCCCACAATTTTAAAAAGGAGGATAAATAGAATGTTTAACATGAATATTATCAGCTTTCTAACTTGTGGACAACAGGTAATCTTTTATTTCTTTTTTAGATTGAAAAATTTAAAGGTGTTAAGTCATTCTTCAGTTGTCCACATTATGTGTAAAAATAATTTCTTATTTTACATGGCCAGAAGTACTACAGCAGTATTTCTAAAGTTTAATGAAAATGCGTTTGCTTTCTTTGTGCTTAAAGTATGAATTAGTTCATCTGGCTTTATTTTAGGTTCATTCAATGACTGAAGTTATGGGCTAAAATGGTAATTTAGCAATCCCCATGTTTTCCGCAGTTAAAAAATCTGTATAATTTGAAGTTTAATTCAAATGATTTTGGCATTTTTATCAAAGGCTGACTAACTCTTTTCAAAAGGTTAGTTGAGATGTGTGGCTTAAGAGGGACAAAAATCTGACAGGAGCGGTGACTCACGCCTGTAATCCCAGCACTCTGGGAGGCCGAGGAGGGCGGATCACCTGAGGTTAGGAGTTTGAGACCAGCCTGGCCAACATGGTGAAACCCCGTCTTTACTAAAAATACAAAAAGTAGCCAGGCGTGGTGGCAGGCATCTGTAATCCCAGCTACTCGGGAGGCTGAGGCAGGAGAATCACTTGAACCCGGGAGGTGGAGGCTGTAGTGAGCTGAGATGGTGCTATTGTACTCCAGCCTGGGTGACAAGAGTAAGACTCCATCTCAAAAAAAAAAAAAAAAGAGAGAGAGAGAGACAAAAATCTAGTCCATGGATCCATTTCTATTTGTCAGATTGTTTAAAATCCTCAGTATTTTCAATGAAGTACTTTGAGGCTTAAGTTATAATGACTAAAAGATGATGATATTCATATTAACATGGAGATGTCACCATCACTACACATGCTCAATCAGCTTGATTCAATCACTGTACCCTCTTACTCTCTTTCTCTACTCCAGATTGGTTCCTGGCAAGTAAGAAATGTGGAGGAAGGGAGAGAGGAGAAAGGGTAGAAGAGAAAAAGATAATAAGAGAGAGAACGAGGGAGGAATGTTGGAAGAAATGGGAAGAACTCCTTTGATTTATAGGCATAATATTTTAGAGGGAGATAAAATAAATTCTAGATAAACTTTTTTCATCATTTTACATCTTTCTTTAAATGTTCTTATAGTCTCCCACTTATCTCACTTGCTCCAGCCACAATTCAACTTTGCCTCAATTCCCTTAATACTTATTGTGTCTTTCAGTAGTCCACATCACTTTTTTTATGGTTTCTTTTCATTTTATTTTTTTAGAGATAGGGTCTCACTATGTTGTCCAGGCTGGTCTCAAACTCCTGGCCTCAAGTGATTTTTTTCACCTTAGCCTCCCAAGTAGCTGGGATTACAGGCCTGAACCAGTGTGCCTGGCTGTGTTACAATTTTTTAAGTATGAAATTTTCTTTTCTAGCAGACCTGTTTCATAAGAGGGATTATGCCTCATTTATCTTTATAAATCCTATGTACTTAAAACAATACTAGCCACATAGGATGTGCCCTTTAAATATTTGTTGGGCTAATACATGAACTCATAAAGCTTTCTAGGAGCTTTGGAGTCCATTAGAATTAGAAATATTTAAAGAATGGTAATGGGACAATAAGTATCTTCATTAATTGTCATTATATCAACAAACACGATAATAATAAATTTTCAGGTCTTTTCAGTTGTCTTTCAATTATGTTACATTTAAATTTAAAACATTCACAGCAAATCTTGCTTTTTCACTTCTTTATAAGAGTAATATATTGCTGATACAAAAGAAACCTATCTGAGTACAGATAGGTTGTAAAAGCTGATACTTACAAAGTCATTATCAACAGAGAATGTGTGTAATCAAATTCATTATGTTGAACAGTTTAGAATCTACATATAGTAAAGGAGACCAAGTAAATCACTATTTCTAACAACAACAATCCTAAACCTAAAACAAAGGTATACTTCAACAATAAGAGAGAAACGAAGGAAGATAGATACAAAGAGAAAAAGGCACAATGAATTTCTTTGCTTGACTTTTCAAGACTGTGTCTGGATACTAGTGCCAACAACAGGAAGAAAAGAATCTGCTATGGTCTGAATTTGTCCCACCAAAAAGCATGTGGTGTAAACTTAATACCCAGTGCTACAGCATTGGGAAGTGTGACCTTTAGGAGGTGATTAGGCCATGAGGGCATGTCCTCTGAGTGGATTAATGCTGTCATCAATGAGTGGGTTCCTTAAAAAAGAATGAGTTCAGCCCTTTCTTGCTCTCTTTCTCTCACCCTCTCACCTTCCACCATGGAATGGTGCCCCAAGAAGTCTCTTGCAAGATACTGGCACCTTGATATTGGACTTCCCAGCCTCCAGAACTGTGAGCCAATAAATTTCTGTTTTACTATAAATTATCAAGCCTGTGGTATTCTACAATAGCAGGACAAAATGAACTAAGAAAATACCTCTGCTGACTTTGAGGGTTGAATTTCATTCTAAACCATTTTGGTAAGAAAATAAGCATTGTGGGGACAGGTACTAGCATAGGCATTATTACAAATTCAACCCTAAAACAATGAAATAGAGTAGAAATTTTAGAAATAAACGTTTACATTTTTGGTTAGTACCTTTTCCACCAGTATGCCAGGACAATTCAATGGGAGAAAGGATAGTCTTTTCAAAAAATGGGACAACATGAAAAAGAATGACATTAAACCCCATACCTCACATCATATACAAAAATTAATTGAAAAATGGATCATAGACCCAAAGGTAAGAGCTAACACTATAACTCTTAGAAAAAGTAGGACTAAATTTTTGTGACCTTGGATTAGGTAATGGTTTCTTAGAAATAGCACCAAAAGCACAAGTTGCCAAAAAAACCCCACAAAAAATAAATTGGACTTTATCAAAATTAAAAGCTTTTGTGCTTCAAAGGAAACAATCAAGAAAGTGAAGACATCTCACAGAGAGAGAAAACATTAGCAAATCATAAATCTGATAAGGGAGTGGTATCCAGAATACATGACAAACTGTTACAGCTCAATAATAGAAAGACAAATAATCCAACTTAAAAAGGAAGAAAAGATTTGAACAAACATATCTGCAAAGAAGACAAATGAGTGGCCAATAAATATATGAAAAGGTGCTCACCCTCATTAGCCATTAAGGAAATGCAAATTAAAACAACAGTGAGATACTACCTCACAACTACTAGGACAAAGCTATGGTTTGAATATGTCCCCTTCAAAATTCATGTTGAAACTTAACTAACCCCTATTATGGTGGTGTTAAGAGAGAGGCCCTTTAGGAAGTGATTAAGTTGTGATGGTTCTGCCCTCATGAATGGATTAGTGCCTTATAAAAGGGCTGGAAGGAACAACCTTAGGCTTTTTTTTGCCCTTCTGTCTTCTTCCATTTGAAGACGCTACCATGAGAAGACACCCACCATCAGTGGAACAGGCCCTCACCAGACACTAAATCTACCAGTGCCCAGTTCTTGGACTTTGCAGCCTCCAGAACTATAATAAATAAATTTCTGTTGTTTACAAATTACTGAGTCTCAGGTATTTTGCTACAGCAGCATAAAGGAACTAAGACAGACAGCTATATCAAGAAAGACAGACAATAACAAATGTTGACAAGAACATGAAGAAATTGGAATCACCATACAAGGCTGGTGGGATTTTAAAATGGCTCAGTCACTTTGGAAAACATTTTGGCAGTTCCTCAGAATTTTAACCTAGAGTTTCTATCTGACCCAGAATATTCAACTCCTTGTTATAGACCCATGATTTAAAGTATATGTCCAAATAAAAACTTGAATAAAAACTATGAATAAAAATATTCGGCCAGGTGCAGTGGCTCACACCTGTAATCCCAGCACTTTGGGAGGCCACAGTGGGTGGATCACAAGGTCAGAAGATCAAGACCATCCCGGCCTACATGGTGAAACCCCATCTCTACTAAAAATACAAAAATTAGCTGGGTGTGGTGGCACGCACCTGTAGTCCCAGCTACTCAGGAGGCTGAGGCAGGAGAATCACTTGAACCCAGGATGCAGAGGCTGCAATGAGATGAGATCATGCCACTGCACTCCTGCCTGGGCAACAGAGCAAGACTCTGCCTCAAAAAAAATATTCATAGCAACATTATTCTAAATAGTCCAACAGTAGAATCAATCCAAATGCCTATCAACTGATGAATAGATAAGTAAAATGTGGTATTTCCATAAAATAAAATATTATTCAGCAGTAAAAAGGAATAAAGTACTGTCACCTCCTGCAACATAGATGAAACTTGAAAACATTAAGTTAAGTGAAAGAATCTACTCACAAAAGGCAAATCTATAGAGATAGAAAGTACCTTAGATTGCAAGGAGCTGGGGGAGGGTGGGAATGGGGTGTGACTGTAATAAGTATGTGTTTCTTTTTGGAGTGATAAAATGTTTTAAAATTAGATGTTGGTGATGAATGCATAACTGTTATTCTACTATAACTCGCTGAATTGTACACTTTAAAATGGTTAATTTTATATGTCTATTATATCCCAATAAAGTTCTTAAAACAAACTAAACTAAAAATAGTAATAGTTCAAACTAAGACATTTAAAATGTTTCTCTGTTTATTGAATAAAGCCCAATTTGTAGTTTAATAAATATTATATGTAAAACAAAGGAACTAAAGAGATGATTTCTAAGTTTGTCTCCAGAAATACAATTTAGATTTCATGATTCTATAATTTTATACTGAAATCTGAAAAAAAAAAACTGTATCCATTTGTGATCAGTATGTGTCTCTAATTGAAGTTCTCTGTCTCTTTGTCTCTGCTTCTCTCTCCCTCGCTTCCTCCCTCCCTGCTCTCTCTTAATGTATTTCTTGATTTATTGAGAGTAAGAAGATTCAAAGCAGGGATAAGAGAGATCAAATTCACCTTTTATATAACATTTAAAGCTCAGTACTTTTTAAATAAATACAATCAAATTTTAATAATGTAGGCAGAGAAGTTCAAACAAAAGCATAGATTTTCTCAGAAAATCTGAGGTTTCCATAGATAACATTATTATTAAATTTTTATATATTTAAAACAAAAAATTAAAAAAGGTCAATTTACTTGCATGCTCATTCATGATCATTATTTGATTTGATCCCATGGTAAGTATTTCATAAATAGACCTCACCAACTATACAAACTCACTATAGTTATCAACTTGGCTATAAAAAGCATTCTAACATCATCAGTTGGAAATACGTTTTAGGAACTGGCAATTTATTTTTACATTGGATTGTAAACTAAAACTCTAATCAAATTAATATATTTGCTGAATGTCTCTCAGAGAAAATATTAAGAAGTCTAAAATAAATGGTTTCAACCCCAAGAAAGTTTATGTTTCTCTCTAGTTCAGAAGATCCTTGTCAAACCCCTGTTAATCCTTCAAGATCCACACCACTCTTCTCTGAAATCTTTTTTGCTTCTTGTAGAGAGACATGGTTAGGTGTGTTGCATCTTTCATTAATGATTGTTTTAAATATTAATATTATCTATTTACATGTCTGCCTGCCTCTCTGGGTCTTGAGCTCCAGGGTAGTGACCTTATCTTTTATTAATTGATTTATGTGACAAATATATATCAAATACATACTATCATGTTGGGCACATAATGGTAAAACTTTTAGTCAAATGGTAATAAAAAATAGGGATTGTAAGGCCACTAATTCAGTAATTTCTTCTCAGACTTGCAAGTAAAAATGTAACATTTTTATTTTCTGCAAAAGACCCTATTTCAGAATATAAATAAAGGTCTCAATTTCTTCCAGCATAAATCTCTTTGGTTTGTTTTAGGTTTTTTTGTGCAAGTTTTCAGTCTTTTAGATTTCCTCATTTTCCCTGTGATCTAATTTCAGGTGATTTCTGAGTTTTTTTGGAGACTCAAAAGTCCTTGTAGGAATAGGAGAAAATGGTTTTGAAGGCATAGTCATAGGAATCCTTGCCAGTTTTCTGAGAAGCATGCAGTCTTACCAACCCCTGACTGCTATCCACTGGATGTGACCACTTCTGTATAGTGTTTTGAGACATTATGTTGGCACCTACTCTGAAATGGTTCTAGTCACTTGCCTCCAATATTGAAATCCCAGAATATTTCAGCCATGACCCTCCAACCTTTGTCAGTCCATTAGCCTTCTCAGTATTCTCTATCTCAGATCATGGGAACACTTCTGAATCCATATGTACAGGACATGGAGAGACAGTGTATTTATTTAGACTTTTAGACTTTCCTAGTTCAGAGCCTCTTTGCATTAATGTTGTTGGTTCTAGGCTAGCTTGGGTGCCAAGTCAAATTCTGGGCTTCTCACAGAGTCCTGAAGCTTCAGCAAAGCTGTACCAGGGAAGCAGATCATCATCATTGACCTTGTATTTAATTTCTTCAGAGCTGGATCCTACTGGCAGTTGTCATATGCTTTCCTTTAACCCCGAGTCCATGATGACAAATGGGTTACACCAAGAAAAATCATCTAATCTGTAAAGTATATGTTAATTATATTGAATAGGCATTTATATACCATTGTGAAAGGTTTTTAATAGCCCCACCATTTAATCCTATACTTATAATTGGTGTGCAGCAGATGAATTTTTAGCCTTAACATTTTTTAAAATTTCGTGATAATTTTAGACACACAGAAGAGACGCAAAAAGTAGTACAGAGTCTATTTTATATATATTTACCCAGATTATCCTTATGCCAACATCTTACACAGCCAAAGAATAAAATGATCAAACCTAGGAAATTAACCTTGGTATTATGCTATTAATGAAACTACAGAATTTATTCAGATTTCACCATTTTTTCACTAGTTTATTTTATTATTTTTGGTTCAGGATCCAATTTAGAACCTCACATTGTACATAGCTGCTGAATGTCCTTAGCCTCTTCCAATCTGAGATGCTTTCTCAGTCTTTCCTTATCTTGTTTTTAATATTACTGAAGAGGAGTTATTTTATAGAACTTTGCTCCATTTGGGTTTGTTAGATTTTTTATTGATTATATTAAGGCTATGCATTATTAAGAAGAATAATGCATATCAATATCATTTACCTCTGATGATATGCACTTCTGAATGCATCATATCCAAAGTAAATGACATTGATATGTCTTATTACTGATTATATTAATCTTGATCACTTGGCGTCTGCCATGTTTTTCCATTGTAAAGTTGCTGTTTTTCTCTTTGTGATTACTAAATATTTTGAGAGAGATACTTTGTGATTGCAGTGGATTGAATGTTTATGTTCCTTCCAAATTTATGTCCTGAAATTCTAACACCCAAGGTCATGGTATTTGGGAGTGGGGCCTTTGGGAGGTGATGAGGTCATTCGGGTGGAGCCCTCAAGAATGGGATTAGTGCTGTTGTAAAAGAGACTTCAGAGAGATTGCTTGCACCTTCAGCCATGCGAGGTTACAATGAGAAGATAGCTTTTTATGAGGAAGTGGGTCCTCACCAGACACTGAACCTGCCAGTGTGTTTATTTTAGACTTACTGGCCTTCAGAACTGTTGAAAAATACATTTCTGTTGTTTATAAGCCACACAGTCTATGATCATTTGTTAATGCAGTCCAAATGGACACACAGTGACTATGCAAAATCTTATTTCTACTTAAATTTTACCTATCAATTTTAGGATCCATCACTGATCCTGCATAAGTCAATTATTGCTGTGGTGTTCTAGCAATGACTTTCTATTTTCTATTTCCCTTATGCCTTTTAAGTTTTTAATTAGAAATATTTCGTAAGGATGATTTGTCTCTTTTCCTCTACTGATTTATTTATTCAGTTTTTTTTTAATATCAGAATGAGTATTTATTTCATTCTTTGGGTTACAATACAATACTATCATTACTTTTTTTGTTTCTCAAATTGTCCTAATTTTGGCTATTGGGATTTTTTTTCAGGTTGTCTCTTTTGCCCTTTGAATATGCTTTGATATTTTATTTGCTCATTTTTAATTACTTTCTTACTCTCCAGTATCACAAATTGTTCCAGGATTGTTTATATTTTTCCTGCCATAACCCTGAAATGAATCATTTTTCCAAGGAACCATAGTTCCTTTTATGAGCACATGATATTTAGAAATGAAGCTCTTTGCTGCTGGCATGATACTTCTTCTAGCACATTTTAATGGATACAACTGGAGATACATGTATTACACTAACTCATGCCTATAAACATAAGGCATGAGCCTCATATTTGTTTATCTACATTTGCAGATATTTGAAAATCATGAGTTCATACTGATATCTCCATCTCTAATCCAGTACCAGTGGTTCATTCCAGCATCCACCCTTTCCTTATTTGTAACTTCTTCTTTTGACAGTGAGAAACTCAGCTTTCACTGTCTACACTATATTTACTTATTAGCTCAACCTTACTATAAAATATGAAATGAAACCCATACCCATGTAAGAGACTAATTTGCCAACTGTATCAGGAATTAGCAACCTATGGCTCACAAGCCACATCTGACCCTGTATTTGTTTTTATAAATAAAGTGTTGTTAAAACATAGCCACACTCATTTATTTATGTATTGTCTATGGCTGCTTCTGTGCTCCAACAGCAGGGTTGAGAAGTGGTAATGGAGACTATATGACCCACAAAGCCTAACATATTTACTATCTTGTTTTTTACTCAAAAAGTTTGCCAACCCCTACACTAGAGCAGAGTGTTAGTGTACATTACTTTTTGTCTTTAAAATATACCGTCACATAACTGCTTACCAAAGTTACTTAAGTCAGCTCCTTTCTTCCTCATGTCCTTTAGTGTGATCATGTGATTCATCTGTAATACAGCTAGATTTATTTGGCAGTTTGCGTTCCACTCCTCCACACATCCTGTTTGATTTTTAAAAAAGGAACGTGCAGTAAAATTCACTCTTTGCGGCTTACGTTTCTGTGAGTTTGACAAATGCAATGAGTCATGTGTCCACAGTCACAGTTTCATACAGAACAGTTTTCTCATCCCCCAAGTTCCCAGTTGCTTCTAATTTATATTCACCTCTCCCATCATTCCTCTACCACCGGCAACCATTAAGCTACTTTCTATTCCAATAGTTTTGCCTTTTCCAGAGTGTTTATTAATGAAATTATACAAAATGAGCCTTTTAATGTCTGACTTATTTCATTTAGCAAAGTGTATTTAAAATACAAGCATGTTGTGCTAAAATATTTACTACCTGGTCCTTTACAGGAAAACATTTACCTATCCCTATTGTAAAGAATAGAAAGGAGTGGAAGTATATGGGTGACCTTGTTGGTGACATAATATAGAAAGCAAAGAGGAAATGAAAAATTGTTCCATAATTTCAACTTTGGATTATTGAGAGCATGTTTTACCTTAATAAAAATAGGAAGCCCTGTATTTGGGCTTTTCTCAAATGGCCAGACACCTTTGTGTAATTTACCACTATGTAAAGCTAAAATAATGAACAGTAAGTAGTCATGAGTTTGCTATGCAGCAAATCCTATGAAATATATCAGTTTTAAGTTTAGTTGCTGGGGAATGGAAAGCACTCAGTGGTAGGAGTTGGGATGCAAACATAGAAGAAAGGGTTTCTATGTCATTTGGCCTGTACGATTTTGTCTGTCTAAAAAAGGGTTGTTCAGAAAGCTCCTCATAAGGCAACAATAGAAGTCATTTCATAAATTTTTTTTTCAGATAACATATTGTGATGGTTAACTTTATGTGTCAATATGACTGGAATATGGGATATCCAGGTAGCTAGGAAAATATTTCTGAGTGTATCTGTGATGGTGGTTTTGGAGGAGATTAGTATTTCGGTCAGTAGACTCAGCAAAGAAGATCCACCCTCAACAATATAGGCTGGCATCATGCAGTCTGTTGAGGGCCCATATCAAACCAAAAGGAAGGGGCAAATTCTGTTTCTCTCTTCTTGAGCTGGGACATCCATCTGCTTATACCCTTGCACATCGGAGCCTTCAGACGCTGGGACTCACACCAGCACACTTCTGCCTACTCCCTACCTTGTCAGGCTGTTGGCCCCAGACTGTGAAATCCATCATCTGCTCTCCTGCTTCTTTGGCCGTGGTACTCAGTCTGAATTACACCACCAGTTTTTCTGGGTCTGAGGACATACTGTGGGACTTCTCAGCCTCCATAATCACATGAGCCAATTCTTATAAATCTTTCTCTTATGTATTTGTATATGTCCTGTTGGTTCTGTTTCTCTGGAGAGCCCTGACTAATACTAGTCAGGGTTTTTTTATTATTCTAAAATTTCAAATGGTAGAGAGAAAGTGAGAGTAACCTTGCAATTTCACATTATCAGAATAACCACTATTAACCTGTTGGTAATTTCTTGCAGAATTTCTTACGCATGTAGAGCTAGCGGGAGAGATAGAGATATAACTGTGCCATAATATTCTCCCTTAGCTGCATTTTAAAGTAATATATTGTTTATGTCTTTTAAAAGAATACATTCAGTTCTATTTTATTATTTTTTAATGACTGCATAATATTCAATTATATAATTGTACTGTTATTTATATAACCAATCCGTTTTTTTCTTCTTTTTCTGAAGACAGGGTCTTGCTATGTTGCCCAGGCTGGTCCCAAACTCCTGGACTCAAGTAGGCCTCCTGCCTCAGCCTCCCAAAGTGTTTGGATTATAGGCACAAGCCAGAACACCAGGCCCAGTCAATTTTTGATATTAATATAGATAATGTCTTAATATAGATAACAAACTTAATAATAGCTAAGTTTTCACTGTTAAAACATAAAAAGGACAATTTTATGCAAAAATATTCGTTCATAATTCCAGCACTATTTTCCTAACATAAAAAGTTAAAAATATGACATTTTATATTTTGTGTTTTGCAAGAAGTTTTCATTAGTATTGTGAGATATCTTTAAATACTTTTATAAAACTTATTTTCATTTTTGATCATTTGGTACTTATCAAATACCACAAAGTACTATTAGTTCTTATATGAGCCTCATCTCAGTATAACCAACTAGTAAAAATTACTTGAGACTACTATGTTTTAAACTTACTTCACATCACCCAGATATTGATTCTATTGTGCTATAAGCTTCTTACAATCAATAAACACAGGAAATGCAAAAATCTAACATTTATAATACATGACTCTCATCCTCCTACCGTATGAAAAATTTGTAGTAGTTTTGTGAATAGTGCATTTCTATTTCTGAACTGTGACTATTTGGTTTTCCTTACTACAGTGAAAGACCTAGTCCTGGGTGTCCAATCTTTTGGCTTCCCTGGGCCACACCAGAAGAATTGTCTTGGGCCACTGTATTAGTCAGGGTTCTCTAGAGTGAGAGAACTAATAGGATCGATATTTACATAAAGGTGAGTTTATTAAGTGTTAACTCACACAATCACAAGGTCCCACAATAGGCCATCTGCAGGCTAAGGAGCAAGGAAGCCAGTCCAAGTCCCAAAACTGAAGAACTTGGAGTCAGATGTTTGAAGGCAGGAAGCATCCACCATAAGAGGATACTTGAAGCTTAGGCCAGTCTAGTCTTTTCACGTTTTTCTGCCTGCTTTATATTCTAGCCTTGCTGGCAGGTGATTAGATTGTGCCTACCCAGATTAAGGCTGGGTCTGCCTTTCCCAGCCCACTGACTCAAATGTTAATCTCCTTTGGCAACACCATCACAGACACACCCAGGATCACTACTTTGCATCCTTCAATCCAGTCAAGTTGACACTCAGTATTAACCATCACAGCCACACATAAAATACACTAACACTAACTATAGCTGATGAGTGAAAAAAAAAAAAGGTTCATGCATAAACCTCATAATGTTTTAAGAAAGTTTATGAATTGGGACACATTCAAAGCCGTCCTGGGCCACATGTAGCCCATGGCCTGCCACAGGTTGGAGAAACTTGACATAGTCATTTATCTAGTTGCTTAATCCAGAAAACTGGTTTTTCTTCTTCTTAATGTTTCTGGGATTATCCATGTATCTCTATTCCCAGTATTACTTTTAGTACATTCCGTTCTCCCACAAGACTCCAACAGCTTCCTAATTGTTCTACCTGTCTCTGACTATGCCCTAATACGAACATTCACCTTATTATAGCTAGAGACCTAGATAAAAAAGGAATTTGAGACTAGATTCTGGCTCCTGCTTATCTCTCAGCCTCATCCCAACTTTTCTCTTCCTGTACTCCACATTCAAGGCATTCCAAAATAGTACTAAGACTCTAAATATACAATATTTTCTGGTGCTTCTATATTATAGTGAAGGCCTGAAATTTTAGAAGGGTCTTGAGTGGCCTAACAACAAGTTATCCTCCCCCTCTGCTTCTGCAATAAGCTCCCCTAGCCAAATAACCCTCCTATCATGGGGACCAGGCACAATCCCTATGTCCCCTGGCTTCACTTTTGTGCCAGCTCACAAAATTATTCAAAGAAGCCACTCACATCCTTCCATAGGAAGCAGGGTTCACCCTACCCTCTTGTTACTACAAAGCCCCCCACAGCCCCTGCTTGTTCATCGATTCCCAAGTGCACCTCCACATAGTCCTCCTTGGTTTAGGATGTCCTTCTCCCCTGGGCTCTGCGTATATCTGATTAATAAACTCCTGTCAATCTCATCTGTTCAATGGCAGGTGTTGTGTTTTCAGCCATTTCCTTAACCCTAGGGTAGGAATCCCTTCCTCATCAACAGAGTGAAGAAGAGGTGAATACAACATGGGTATGCTATATTTCCTATGTTTTGGAAAAAAGTTTCCTTTTATCTTGCTAAATTCTAGTCATCCATTGGGACTCAGTATTGAAATGGTATACCTTGTCTCTTTTAATAACCCAACCTCTGCACTTTAATCAAATTAAAGCCTTTTTAAAATGCCCCTGACACACTGCTTCAATCTGAGAAACCTTTAGCAGGGGAGGAGAGTGTGGACACTTCTCCATTTCCTTACCTTGTTCTGATCCTTCTTGGCATCACTTGGCCCACAAGGCTGCTCTTGCAACTTCCTGGATTGGTTCTGGAGGGAGAACAAAAGATGTGAAAAACATCTTAGTTGACAGAGGCAGATACAATTTGGTATTTAGTGTCCTCTGAGTATGGCAGATTCCCAGGGCTCATTTTTTTTTCTGGAATATTTTTGTGGCTTTCTTAGATTTTCTCCCTTTGCAAAAACATCAAAATTCAGTTTTTGTGTGTGGGGAATGTTTCTGTGACAGTTATTCCCTACATTCCCCTGTCTCCCAGCAGCTTCTCCATTGGACAGTGTATCTACAGCCTCTTCTTGCTAAAGGCTCCTCCTTCCTGGCAGCAAATGCTCTTGAAGAGGAGTGTCCCATTAAAAGAGCATGTCAGGTTCTTTCCTATAAAACCCACTTCTCAACATAAAAATTACACCTCTCTGACCAACCACTGATGGAAAATAGAGACTTCTTTCTTTACAGATCCAGGTACAAACTTCCACTTCTGAATTTCTCAGGTGTGAAGCAAACACCAAATGTTTATATCTCTAAACTTTAGTGGACAAATATCAAATTATCTGGGCAGCACTTTGGAAGATCCACTTCGCAGCTGTGAGGTCAGGACAAACACCTTGTTTCTTAGCCACATAATAGAAATAGGTAAAATGCCACTGCATCTGGGCAACTTATTTTAAAGAAATTCTCTCTTTAGTTAGGTTTCTTCAACTTTTTACAACCTGCAAACATTTGAATGTGTCTTGCAAATTTCACGTGTTGGAAACTGAATCCCCAAATTCATATGTTGATTGGACATGGGACCTTTGGGAGGTAATTAGAATTAGATAAGGTCATCAGGGTGAGGCCTTCGTTATGGGGCTGGTGACTATAGGAATAGGAAGACAGACCTGAGCTGACACACACGCTGTCACCCTCTCGCCCTGTGATGCCCTCCATCATGTTATGATGCTGCAAGAAGACCCTACCAGATGCCAGCACCATGCCCTTGGACTTCCTAGCCTCTAGAACTGTAATAAATAAATTTTATTTTTTAACCCAAGAGGCGGAGGTTGCAGTGAGCCGAGATCGTGCCATTGCACTCCAGCTTGGGCCACAGGGCGAGACACAGTCTTAATAAATGAATAAATAAATAAATCACCTAATCTGTGATATTCTGTTACAACCTGTATAGAATATAAACCAAGACATATTTTCAAATCAGGGTATGAGTCAATAAGTGCAAAAATATTTTTTACTACTTACTTCGCAGTCCTACATAGATGATTTAGCAAGATACTTTGAAATGGAGGGCAGCTGGCATGTATGGTTCTGTTTTTCTTTTGGGCCTGGCATGAAACTGAAGCATATGAAGTCTCATTTTAATATCCTGTTATATTTTGTACCTAAATTTTATTTTCTACAACATTAATTAATTTATATTCTTAACAGTCTGACTAGATCTTTTTCTATATAAAAAAGTTAATTGTCAATGAACTTGCTACATTAACCAAAGATTTTGAATAAAAATTAATAATTTGGTTAAAACTATGTTGAGTATATATTTTCTAAGCTTATTCATATTGGAAACTGCAAGGTTTTATGTTGAATCATATGTTCCATGATCATTTCAAAATAAATAACCATTTTAATAATGTTTGTTATGGGTTTTTAAAATAGGTCACATCTTGTTTGGCATTTTAATTCCTCATGCATCAGTGGCAACATCAAAGGCAAGTTTTTCTCTTTTATCGTAAATGATTTTGTTTGGATTCTCTGAATCTCAAATGAGGTCATGATGAGCATTAGGAGTTCTGAGGAGGCCTCTCAAACTCCTGCGGTTGTAAGAAAAGTTTGTGTGTAAAATTATAAAGTATTATAGTGCAACTTAATCCTAGAAGGACAGTGCCCCAAGACAATTTAAAAAATCAACATATATTTTGGTGAAAGGAAGCTAAGTAATATAAAACAAACATGCTAATAAACAAAAACCCAGCACTAATTGTATATCAAGATAATTGTGTTTATGCATTAATATTCACATTCTACAAAGGATCTGACTTGACTTACAGAAATACATTGTATATAATAAGATTTTTTTCTTAAAAAGGACTTCCAGTTTGAACCTGAATACATATAGCCAAAATGTTTCTCCTTTTAAGAAATCACAAGAAGGCAACAAGAAGATAATTGAACACAAATCACTTCTTTGGTAAAACCAGCTGACAGATAAACCCCAGACTCAAAAATAGTTGGAAAGGATTCCATAAACAATGAAGGTCAAACAGCAGGGCTGGAATCAAGGAGACTGACAAAATAATATATTTTCAATAATCTCAGAGAGGGAAAGTATGACCCAAAACTTACAATATATATAAAGTGTGATCCAAAACTTAGAATATATACAAAAAAGACTAATAAATTCAACTCCATAAAACAGTGATGATGATGATGATATTGATAAAATTCTGCAAGGTAAAATATCTTGAAGAAAAGTGACCAACTGGAAAAAATATTTGCAGCTATTACCTTCAAAAGTGTAGTTTTCCTAATATAAAAAGAACTCTAAAAAATCATTAAGGAAAAGATCATCAATCCAATAGAAAAGGGCAAATAATACAAATTAGCAGAAAATAAAAATGGATCTTAATCACGAAAAGCTGCCTGACTTCACTTACAATAAGAGAATACTATCACAATGATACTGTTTCTCACCAGTCAAATTGGCAAATATAATAAAAATGTAGCATATCTGTGTAGGAATGTAAATTGAGAATACTTGTATAGAGTACCTTTTGGAAGAAAACCTTCAAAATTAAAAATGTTTTATGTGTGTAAAATAATAATATATTTATAAGATTATTCATTATTTTACTCTTTGAAATGGCAAAAGGTTGAAAACAACCCTAATGTAATTAGTACGTGTCATGTTAAATAAATTATGGAATAGCCAAATTTTGGTACAGCATTCTGAAACTGGAATACTAAGCAGTTATAAAGAAGACTGTAGAAGATCTTTATGTCCTTATAGGAAACTACATTACATATATTGTTAAAAGTATCCAGCAAAAGGTAGAATCATGTGTATGGCTTGCTCCATTCCTACAGAAAAGAAGAAAAGAAAAAGTATACACACAGTGGTCTTGGAAGACCATTGACAGAATAGAAAAGAAACTGACGATATTTTTTTTCCTCATGGGAGTGGGGGTATGAGTAGCTGAAGGATAGAAAAGTGAAGATAACTTTTCTTGTATACATTTTTATATCAGTTGAAACACTCAAAATTTATATTATATTTGTATTTATATTATATATTCAAGTAAATAAACTTAAAGGCAAAATCAAGCAACAATAATGACAATATGTACACTTATGATCTTGCACAATTATGAACGAAGTGCCTCTCTGATCTGAGCATCCTTTTGGCCAGTGCAAATGAAGGTATAAAATCAATATCTAAGTTTGTTTTATCCACAATACAGAACAAGGATTTTCTAGTCTCCAAAGCCTAAGGAAAAAATTTAATTTTTGACTGGAAACATACCATATTTTTGTTAAAATTGCTAGAAGGGCCCAATCTGTATGGCCTCTGATCTCCCACTTCTTTAAATTGATAATATTATTAGTTTGTGACATTCCATTTAAAATCTAATTTAGTTATCTACTTCACAATTTATAAGTTTGGTTTCTCTTACAACATTCCACATGATATATATGACTATGCCTGCCATTTAATGGAGTTTACTCTGAATATCTCTGGTACTTCAGCACCTACAGAGAAGGTTTTTCTTAATTATGGCCTAAAGAGAGGAGTCAATTGAATATGCCAACAATTTTAAATTTGTTAATCATAAATTACCTTTTAAAATGATTTCAGTGAAAGAAAAAATGTTAAAGGCAGCCAGAGAGAAAGGTCATGTCACTTACAGATGGAAGCCCATCAGACTAACAGTGCACCTCTCAGCAAAAACCCTACAAGCCAGAAGAGATGCGGGGACAATATTCAACATTCTTAAAGAAAAGAATTTCCAACCCAGAATTTCATATTCAGCCAAACTAAGCTTCATAAGCGAAGGAGAAATAAGATCCTTTTCGAACAAGCAAATGCTGAGAGAATGCATCACCGCCAAGCCTGTCTTGCAAGAGCTCCTGAAGGAGGCACTAAATATAGAAAGGAAAAACCCACTACCAGCCAGTACAAAAACACACTGAAGTACACAGACCAGTGACACTACGAAGCAAGCACATAAACAAGTCTGCAAAATAACCAGCTAGCATCATGATGACAGGATCAAATTGACACATAACAATACTAACCTTAAATGTAAATGGGCTAAATGCCCCTAATTAAATGACAGAGAATGGCAAGCTCGATAAAGAGCCAAGACCCATCTGTCTTCAAGAGACCCATCTTAGGCGCAAAGACACACATAGGCTCAAAATAAAGGGAAATTTACCAAGGGAATAGAAAACAGAAAACAGAAGGGGTCACAATCCTAGTTTCTGACAAAACAGACTTTAAACCAACAAAGATCAAAAAAGACAAATAAAGGCATTACATAATGGTAAAGGGTTCAATTCAAGAAGAAGAACCAACTATCCTAAATATATATGCATCCAATACAGGAGCACCCAAAATCATAAATCATAAATTTCTTGGAGACCTACAAAGAGACTTAGACTCCCATACAATAATAGTGGGAGACTTTAACACCACACTAACAGTATTAGATCATTGAGACAGAAAATTAACAGATATTTAGGACGTGAACTCAGCTCTGGATCAAGCAGACCTGGTAGATATCTACAGGACTCTCCACACAAAAACACAGAATATACATTCTTTTCATTGCCACATGGCACTTACTCTAAAATTGATCACATAATGAGAAGTAAAACACTCCTCAGCAAATTCAAAAGAACTGAAATCATAACAGTCTCTCAGACCACAGCACAATCAAATTAGAACTCAAGATTAAGAAACTCACTCAAAACCACACAAGTACATGGAAATTGAACAACCTGATCCTGAATGACTCCTGGGTAAGTAATGAAATTACGGCAGAAATCAAGAAGTTCTTTGAAACTAATGAGACCAAAGAGACAATGTACCAGAATCTCTGGGATGCAGCTAAAACACTTATAAGAGGGAAATTTATAGCACTAAATGCCCACATCAAAAAGCCAGAAAGATCTCAAACCAACAACCTATCATCACAACTAAAAGAACTAGAGAACCAGGAGCAAACAAACCCGAAAGCTAGCAGAAGACAAGAAATAACCAAGATCAAAGTGGAACTGAAGGAGACAGAGACACAAAAAACTCTTCAAAAAATCAATGAATCCCAGGAGCTGGTTTTTTGAAAAAATTAATAAACTAGATAGACCACTAGCTAGACTAATAAAGAAGAAAAGAGAGGAGAATCAAATAGACACAATCAGAAATGATAAAGGGGATATGACCACTGACTCCACAGAAATACAACAACCATCAGAGAATACTATAAACACCTCTATGCACATAAACTAGAAAATCTAGAAGAAACTGATAAATTACTGGATACATACACCCTTCCAAGACTAAACCAGGAAGAAATCGAATCCCTGAATATACCAATAACAAGTTGTGAAATTGAGGCAGTAATAAATAGCCTAACAACCAAAAAAGGCCTAGGACCAGAGAGAGTCACAGCTGAACTCTACCAGAGGTACAAAGGGGAGCTGGTATCATTTCTATTGAAACTATTCCAAACAATTGAAAAGGAGGGACTCCTCAGTAACTCATTTGATGAGGCCAGCATCATCCTGATACCAAAACCTGGCAGAGATATAACCAAAAAAGAAAACTTCAGGCCAATATTCCTAATGAACATTGATGCAAAAATCCTGAATTAAATACTAGCAAACCAAATCCAGCAGCATATCAAAAAGCTTATCCACCACAACCAAGTTGGCTTCATCCTTGGGAGGGATGCAAGGTTGGTTCAACATCTGCAAATCAATAAAAACTGGATAATCAATAAGCTGGACCTTTTCCTTATACCTTACACAAAAATTAACTCAAAATGGATTAAAGACTTAAATGTCAAAAACAAAACTATAAAAACCCTAGAAGAAAATCTAGGCAATACCATTCAGGACATAGGGACAGGCAAAGATTTCATGATGAAAACACCAAAAGCAATTGCAACAAAAGCAAAAATTGACAAATGGGATCTAATTAAACTAAAGAGCTTCTGCACAGCAAAAGAAACAATCACTAGAGTGAACAGACAACCTATAGAATGGGAGAAAAATTTTGCAATCAATCCATTTGACAAAGTTCTAATATCCAGAGTCTACAAGGAACTTAAACAAATTTACAAGAAAAAAAATAAATGACCTCATTAAAAAGTGGGCAAAGGATATTAACAGACACTTCTCAAAAGAAGACATTCATGAGGCCAACAAACGTTATGAAGAAAAGCTCAACATCACCGATCATTAGAAAAATGCAAATCAAAACCACAATAAGATACCATCTCATGCCAGTCAGAATGGCATTATTAAAAAGTCAAGAAACAACAGATGCTGGCAAGGCTGCAGAGAGAAAGGAATGCTTTTACACTGTTGGTGGGAGTGTAAATTAGTTCAACCATTGTGGAAGACAGTGTGGTGATTCCTCAAGGACCTAGAACCAGAAATACCATTTGACCAGGCAATCCCATTACTGGGTATATACCCAAAGGTATATAAATAATTCTATTATAAATATACATGCACATGTATGTTCATTGCAGCACTACTCACAATAGCAAAGACATGGAATCAACCTAAATGCCCATCGATGATAGACTGGATAAAGAAAACGTGGTACATGTAAATCGTGGAATACTATGCAGCCATAAAAAGGAATGAGATCATTTCCTTTGCAGACAAATGGATGAAGCTGGAAGCCACCATCCTCAGCAAACTGATGCAGGAACAGAAAACCAAACATCACATATTCTCACTCATAAGTAGGAGCTGAACAATGAGAACACATGGACACAGAGAGAACAACACACACTGAGCTTGTCAGTGGGGCAGGGGGAAAGAGAGCATCAGGACAAATAACTAATGCATGTGGGGCTTAATACCTAGATGATGGGTAGATAAGTGCAGCAAATCTCCATGGCACACATTTACCTATGTAACAAACATGCACGTTCTGCACATGTATCCCAGAACCTAAAATAAAATAAAAATAAAAAACAAAATATGGTATATATACATCATGGAATACTATACAGCCATAAAAAGCAATGAGGTCATGTCCTTTGAAGGGACATGGATGGAGCTGGAAGCCATTATCCTTAGCAAACTAACACAAAAACAGAAAACCAAACGCTGCATTTTTCACTTATAATTGGGAGCTGAATGATGAGAATACATGGACATGTGGGAGTAAACAACACACACTGGGGCCTGTTGTAGTGGGGAGACAGGAAGGAGAGCATTAGGAAGAATAGCTAATGGATGCTGGACTTAATACCTAGGTGATGGGTTGATAGGTGCAGCAGACCACCATGGGCACACGTTTACCTATGTAACAAACATGCACATCCTGCACATGTACCCTGAAACTTAAAAGTTGAAAAAAAAAAATAAGGCAAGAATGGAGAGACAAGGGAATATAAAATAGGCAAGAAAAATAGAAAGCACTGAATAAGATGATAAATTTAAATGAAAATATATCATCCCTTACGTTAAATCAAATGATTTCAGAAAGGCATTTAAATTTAAAAATGTAAAAATAATAAAATTATATTTTAAAAATATACTTTTCAAGAAAATTCCAGTGACATGGTATTAGAGAAAGATATCACTAAAAAATTTTATTTTAGAACATGGATATGTACCAAGAATATTTATTCTGCTTATATTATCTTTTAAGGTTCAGAAAATGAAATGAATACAAAGAAGTTTTAAATATTTTGTTTCAGTTGTACAGATCTGTATTTTTCTTTTTAGAAAAAAATTAACTTTTTTTTGAGGAGCACTATGTAAAAAAATTTTTTTTTTTTTTTACATCAGGACTCTCAAAGCTGTCCTGATTGGTCAACAAATGACATGGCCACTCTTTTAAATCATCTCACTTAGATGCAGCCAGCTCTGTCAGTAGATGGCAGTCCTGACAATGTGATCTAAGGGAGAGTGAAGCAGGTGGGAACACCAGTTCAAAGCAAGTGGACCAAGCTGAAATTATGGAGAGAACTGTGATTTATTCATGGTCATTTTACCTACTTACTGTAGACTTGTGCAGAGCCCAAATTAAGCTGGTTGATTCATGCAAACATTTTAATAATTAGTTCTAGAAATGTGAAAAATCTTTATAATTCCTTTTATTAGTTGAAATTGTCCTATTTTCCTTGAGACCACGAACTAAAAAGAACATATGGTGACTTAATTTTACAATAAGCTGAGATTAGTAGAAGAATAGTGATAGATGATTTTAAAAATTTATAAACTCATAGACTGAAACCTCAAGATTGTGTTTGTTTGACCTAGTGTTTAAAACCCAAAACTTGATATAGTGGAAAAATGGTTAGTTATTGCTAGAATTAGGATGAAAATTAAATTCTAGGCAGAATCTCAAGTAGCATGTATATTTATGATTTGCAGTTGAATTATCAACTGAATTTAATTAGCTGTGAATATTTTGGGGCCTATATATTAGGCATTTCAAAACTGTTGTTTCTGTATTTTGTTGACAGGTCACAGAAAGGATTATTTCACACTTTAAGAGAAAGTGACTCAGGGTTGTTGGAAGGTGGGTAAGAGTGACTAAGTCTGGGTGAAGTTTCCTCCTGCCTCTTTGCCTTTTCCTATGCTATTATTTTCCCACCTTCCATAGTCCGGGGAGATGACCGATGGATTCCCAGGATACTCCTTTACTTACTACAAGTGATCAAGGAAATTCAAGGACTGAATATGATAAAATATATTTGGGGAGGAAATGTAAAGTATTTTAAAATTGACAGTAAGTATAAGAAGTAATTTCTGAGGGCAAAATGGTGGTTGTCTAACAGGGGTGCCTGGTCCCCGGGCCATGGACTGGTACCAGTTTGCGGACTGTTACGAACTGGGCGGCACAGCAGGAGGCAAGAGGCAGGTGAGTGAGCATTCCCACCTGAGCTCCCCCTCTTGTCAGATCAGCCTTGGCATTCGATTCTCATAGAAGAGTGAACCCTATTATGAACTGCGCAGGCAAGGGATCTAGGTGGTGCATTCCTTATGAGAACCTAATGTCTGATAATCTGAGATGGAACAGTTTCATCCCCAAACCAACCCTGCTGGCCTGTGGAAAAATTGTCTCCCATGAAACCAGTCCCTGGTGCCAAAAAGGTTGGGGACCACTGGTCTGTAATTTGTAATATTGAGAGAAATTGGGGAAAACAAAGATTTTTCAGAATCCAAAGTGTAAACTGATCTAGTGTAAAAGATTTATAGCAAATAACAGACCCAAAAGCCTTAGTTTAAGGCCAGTAAGAAATCAAAATCATAAGAAGAATGAGGCTAGGGTAAACCCAACCCAGGAAAATAGCTCTGAGTAGACGCTAAAAGGAATTTGACTTGAGAGGCAGATATGGAAACACTTCTCTACCATGATCTAAGGATCTGAAATGAGCAACTCAATTTTCCTGGTGAAAATATTCAAACTCCATCGTTTGCAATTCAGTTCCCTTTATGAGATGGCCCAACCTCTGTTTGTTTCCTAGTCACTTCTTTCATAGCCAGTGTGTATCCAATGAGTAGACCTATGGGCCACTCTTGTCTGTGCTTTCCTGCTGCCATGGTGACATGAGTTTTGAATTTCTCTTTACCTAGATTACCTACACCTCCACTTTGAAAATAAACACACTGCTCATATTTGACCAAATGGATCAGTTTGTCCATAAAATTTCCTCTGATTCCCTCAGCTGGAAGTACTCTTTCTTTCTAAATCCTAAATTCATGCTAAGTACCTCATCTGGTCGCTTAACGCATTCTGTTTTGGTTTCAACTGTTGATGCATTCTTTTACTACGCTGTAAACCCTTAAGAGATAACATATATTTTATTGTTCATAGGCAAGCCAACCTTGCTGATAAATATTCACAGAATAATTAAGATTACCATATATAATTATTATCACATAATTGTTAAATTAAATATGTAATTACTAAATCACATAATTATAAAGATAATCATGTATGTATATATGTATTTATTGACATGGGTTAATCCTTTCAAGCAGGTTATTGGGTCTCAGGGTCATTTAAATAAAAGGATATTGAGGACTGAAAAGGAAGTCACAATAGGAAGGGAATTGCTTAATAGTTCAACCTGTTCATGTAACATTGCACGAGACTCTAGTTTTGTTTATTTCAACCATATATGTTTTTTCTCCTACCATGAACTTTGAAATGGCTGTCTGTCTACTAGATTACAATGCATAAGAAGAATAAGATTAGAAGAATAAGCATTTTTGTTTGTTTGTTTGAACTTGAATTTTAGGTTCAGAGATACATGTGCAGGTTTGTTATATAGGTATGTTGTGTGTCATGGGGTTTTGGTGTAAGATTATGTTTTCACCCAGGTAATAGGTTGAGTACCCAATAGGTAGTTTTTTGACCCTCTCCCTCCTCCCATCCTCCATCCTCGAGCAGGCCCTAGTGTCCATGGTTTCCTTTTTCTGTGTCCATGTGTTCTCAATGTTTAGCTCCCACTTATGAGAACATGTGATATTTGGTTTTCTGTTCCTGTGTTAGTTCACTTAGGATAATGGCCTCTGGCTCCATCCATGATGCTGTAAAGGACATAAACTCATTCTTTTTATGGCTGCATAGTATTCCATTGTGTATATGTGCTACATTTTCTTTATCCAGTCTACCATGGATGGTCTTTTAGGTTGATTCCATGTCTTTGCTATTCCTATCAAACTACCAATGACGTTCTTCACAGAATTAGAAAAAACTATGTTTGTTTTTTAAGAACTGGAGAACCATAGTCAACTGGGGGAAATATCTTCTCACCTGTTAACAGGAGTGGGTGAGACTAGGCTGTTTTATAGAACTTGAGATCTTCCTATTTTGAACTTTTCTTTGGGAGCTGGATGATTTTATCACCTTAATTGGTAAATGTGTCTTGCAGAATACCTGCAAATAATGAATACTCAATTAAAAAGTGGTTTACTTTGTTGTTGATTTACCATATGCCTCAGAGATTTTCCTAGTTATAATCAAGAGCTATGAAGTATGTAAGTGTTTTTCAAACCATCACTTGTGGAACAGAGCCAAAGGATTGAGATGGAGTGTAATTAGGAGTGTGTATAAATGATGCCTATTTTCTGGTGCATACTAGATAATTGTGCTTATTTTTTATAGCTAGAACAGCGACTAGAAAGTAAAGTTGACAACCTATTAGGAGCTTTAATTGCCTTTAAAATTCAAGTTCTACTGTAAATATTACTATTATAATATTGATAATATTTTAATCAGCCTTCAGATGTAGCTGTTTTTAAATACAAGAGAATGTACTTAAATATCCACCTTAATGTCATTCCTAATATTAGACCAGAGTTTTAGCAAAGTTATTAAGTTGAAATACAATCTTTAAACTATTTGCCAGAACATTAAGTTAGAATTTGCCAGTTCAGGTCAATATTTCTATGACACAATGCATATGGAAATTATTTAAATATCTTTACTTTTTAAAATGAGGACTATTTATATTGAGGAGAAATATCAAAAAAGTTATAGCATTGTGAATACAAAAAGAAGAAGAAGAAGAAGAAGAAGAAGAAGAAGAAGAAGAAGAAGAAATAACAGCTAGATACACTCTAAGCAGCTCAACTATCATTCCTAGAATGACTCCACAGCATTTTCCCCTTTGTACAGTAGATGTCACCAAAAGTTAAAGATGCCTGAGTAATAGATGCTCTTGGTACAAAGGAGAAATGTTTAACTATTATTTGAATCTAACGGTGAAAAATGCTAGAGGGCAAAACGTGCTTTTTCATAAGCATGTCACACTGATGCCTTTATCTATCACATGCAATGTTTCTTCCCATTGGACATATTCAACCCTCCTGAAAAGACAATGTATTTTATTTGTTTTTACGCTCTGTCTTTTTCTTTCAACCTTGGAATTCCATTTATGTTTTTTATATGCGGTCTGCAGGCTCTAAGAATTAAAAATATATCATTCATTAAAGGTAAATCAGCTAATTTCTATACACGTCTGAGATTCTCAGGTAAAAGGTGTTATGTGAGATGCATGCCTAATTGCAATATGTTCCAAATGATTGTATTTTTCTTTTAAACAGGGGCAGAAGACTCTCCATATACTATCATTAATGCCAACATCATTATATTAGAATATTATATCTGACAGTCAATTAAGGGTTGCTGGGAGCTGCCTTTCTCCAGTAGGAAGCACAGAAAAGGGAAAAGGGCCTTCTAGCACTTTCTCAACTTACTGAAGGCTGACTGATTCCAACCTTACACTGATAGTTTGATCCCAGGACAACAGGTGCAAAATATCTCAACCCCTGGGGCTAAGATAAGAAAGCTCAGGGGTGAGAGGATCCTATCTCCCCAACCTCTGCAACCACATACATTGAAGAATTCAAATTCAGTTGCCACAGCCCTAGGCCTCCTAGAAAAATTGAACTATCAACTAATTAGGGAGATCTAGGGGGCTCCCATAATGGGCCCACTCAGAAGACTTTTCAGATCACAGTCACTTCTCCACCAGTTCAGGGTCCCAAATGTTCTAATACAGACATCATCAGCTCAAATGCCTCTGGGATCCAGGCAAGTAACATAAATGTCTGAATTGGTCTAGACGGCTAACCCCACCATAAGGTATTTCAGTTCAAACTTTATCAAAGCTATTTCCACACAAACAAAAATCTGTAAGCCAGATTTCCCCCAGGCCCTTAGCTTTTGACCCCTGCTCTAATTGAATCAGGGTTTTAAGAAAGCAGCCAGGCCAGGGAGGTGGCTCATGCCTGTAATCCCAGCACTTTGGGAGGCCGAGGCGGGCGGATCACGAGGTCAGAAGATGGAGACCATCCTGGCTAATATGGTGAAACCCCGTCTCTACTAAAAATACAAAAAAATTAGTCGGATGTGGTGGTGGGCGCCTGTAGTCCCAGCTACTCGGGAGGCTGAGGCAGGAGAATAGCATAAACCTGGGAGAAGGCAGAGCTTGCAGGGAGCCGAGATTGCGCCACTGCACTGGAGCCTGGACGACGGAGTGGGACTCCCTTTCAAAAAAAAAAAAGCAGCCAAAGCATTTTGCGGGCAGACTGAGCTTGCATTCTAACGAAATTCCTGTGACAATTTTTTCATATAACCATATAGGTAAATTATAAAGAAGAGGAGAGTTCTCGTATCGATTTTTTCATATAACCATATAGGCAAATTATATACGAGAGGAGAGTTCTCGTATCAGTTTTACTTTCTCTTCACTAAGAACTTCGAGATGGTTTCTACTTAGAACAGCTGGGGTTCCATCTGGGTTGCCTTCGGCCTGGTGCCAGACCTTACTTAGTTCCTAGTTCTGAAATCCAAAACGTTATCAATTAGTTCAGTAAAACGTCCTGTCAAACGTTGTCTGTCTGAGTTAACTGCACTAGTGAAATATTTTATTGAATATTCTTTAGAGCACATTTATAATTGAAAAATGTTGTTTTTGGAAAAACAGTACAATGCAAATTCAGCTAGAATAGCTTATATTTCACTATTTTGAAATCACTGAATTCCAATAAAAGCTTGAGCAAGCTTTTAATCTACTGTCCTTCCCTGTAAATAAGCTACAATAAAAATGTGGCAAAAAATTAGACATAGCATTCACGATATTTCCACTCAAAACTTTTTCCACATTCTTTTCTATTCTTGGTAGCTATGTAAAGTTTTTGACAGTTATTTGCACTTAATGTTTATCAAATGTTGCTACAGAAGTCTCATAAATAACAATTTAGTTATTGCCCAATAATACTTCATCGAATTGATAGGCCAGAATTTAATTAATCATTTCTTATTGCCAAGTAGCTAGGTTTTTTTCCGTTATAAGTAAATCTGCAATGAATAGAAATATATTAGTTCTTTTAGATAATCTTTAGGAAAATTCCCTAGAGTGAGATTACTGCATTGAAGGAGACTTTTATGTAATTTTTGGAACCCAGAATAAAAATGGTTTCTAAAATGATATCAATGTACATATACACATTACCATAAATTATTTTATTATACACATTTATTATACACATTAGCATAAATTATTACCTTATTTTACACTGTGTATATTTATTAGGTATGTTTTCCAAATTTTAATGAAAATTTTATTTACTTTTTCAATTTTTTGTTTACTAATTTTTCCTTATATGTGCTTGCATTTTATCCTTTCATGTTTTTTTCTGAAAATATTTTATTAGCCTTTTACCTTTTATTTTGGTTACGATATATTTCATTACAAAGAAACAATGGTTATATGTAGGAAAATCTGTTTTTTTTTTTCTTTATGGCATCTTTCCCCTCTTTTATCAAGATTTTTAATGAGACCAGTTTCCCGCAAGGTTTTCTGTTAATTAGTTTATATAATTCTTCCTGGCAGCCAAGCTGTGGGTAACTTCCGTATTTAGTTATTAATCTACTAGCATTGTAGGGAGGGCATATGATAAAAATTACCATTAATAATTCTCATTAACTTTGAAACATTTGCTACACTATACTGTTTAGTGTCTTAACAAATTTTGAGAGTAACTAAAAATAAGAATTTGTTAATAATTGAAAACAGTAAAATTCAACACAGTGCTACTCAGCTCTTGAATTTTAGACTATGTTTTTTCTCTGGAACTTAGTATTTACATACCAAGGGACCAATTCTTTTTAAACATTTTTCTCCCAAAATGACAAAATCAATCATTACTTTATAGAACATACAGCTTGTCTTAACCAAACAACTAATTTTCAATACTAGTTTCTAATTGGTTGTTTAAAATGTTAACATTTAGTTTCAAGTTAATTTGCTCTTTTTTCAAAAGACCAGCGGAAGCCACATGATTTATGAGTTTGTTTGTATAGATATTGTAGGAAAACAGTGGGTTCCTGTGACACGACCAGGAAAGATTAGGCTCGCAGACACTTTGAAGGGTGAGGGGGAACGAAATGTATTGGGCGAAAAGGAAAAAAAACTCAGCAAAGCGATAGGAGTTCCTGTTAACAGGCCTCCATCTCACAGACTGAATCCCAGGTCACCACCCCGGAACAGGAGAGCCTAGGCCAGGCTTCTCCTCCCTGCAAACAGTGGAACTTCCCGATGCCCCACCGCGGCCTCTCAGTGCACAGCTTCTCTTTCCGTCTTCAGAAAGAATAAGGGGTGGTGTGGGAGGGGGTGTGGTGGCGGGGTGGGGAGGGTGTTAGTGGGGGTGGGGGGGTTGCAGGGCGGTGGGGAAAGGGCGGGCTTCATCCGGGACTGGCAGTTCAGTTTTTCAGTCCTCAGGCTGTTTTAGGCTTGAAGGCAGGGTTTAACCTGGGGGGATGGGGGTCGGGGTGAGAGGTGACAGCATGCTGGCAGTCCTCACAGCCCTCGCTTGCTCTGGGCGCCTCCTCTGCCTGGGCACCCACTTTGGCGGCACTTAAGGAGCCCTTCAGCCCGCCGCTGCACTGTGGGAGCCCCTTTCTCGGCTGGCCAAGGCCGAAGCTGGCTCCCTCAGCTTGCAGGGAGGTGTGGAGGGAGAGGCGCGGGCGGGAACCGGGGCTGCGCGTGGTGCTTGCAGGCCAGTGCGAGTACCAGGTGGGCGTGGGCTCGGCAGGCCCCACACTTGGAGCGGCCTGCCGGCCCCGCCGGCCCCCGGCAGTGAGGGGCTTAGCACCTGGGCCAGCAGCTGCTGTGCTCAATTTCTCGCGGGGCCTTAGCTGCCTTCCCACGGGGCAGCGCTCGGGACCTGCAGCCCGCCATGCCTGAGCCTCCCCGCTCCTCCGTGGGCTCCTGCCTCCCCCACGAGCGCTGCCCCCGGCTCCACGGCACCCAGTCCCATCGATCACCCAAGGGCTGAGGAGTGCTGGCGTGCACTGCTCGGGACTGGCAGGCAGCTCTACCTGCAGCCTCCGTGCGGGATCCACCTGGTGAAGCCAGCTGGGTGCTCCTGAGTCTGGTGGGGACTTGGAGAACCTTTACGTCTAGCTAAGGGATTGTAAATACACCAATCGGCACTCTGTATCTAGCTCAAGGTTTGTAAACACACCAATCAGCACCCTGTTTCTAGCTCAGGGTTTGTGAATGCACCAATCCACACTCTGTATCTAGCTACTCTGGTGGGGCCTTGGAGAACCTTTATGTCTAGCTCAGGGATTGTAAATACACCAATCGGCACTCTGTATCTAGCTCAAGGTTTGTAAACACACCAATCAGCACCCTGTTTCTAGCTTAGGGTTTGTGAATGCACCAATGGACACTCTGTATCTAGCTACTCTGGTGGGGAGGTGGAGAACCTTTGTGTCTAGCTCAGGGATTGTAAACGCACCAATCAGTGCCCTGTCAAAACAGACCACTGGGTTCTACCAATCAGCAGGATGTGGGTGGGGCCAGATAAGAGAATAAAAGCAGGCTGCCCCAGCCAGCAGTGGCAACTCGCTGGGGTCCCCTTCCACCCTTTGAAAACTTTGTTCTTTGGTTCTTTGCAATAAATGTTGCTGCTGCTCACTCTTCGGGTCTGCACTGGCTTTATGAGCTGTAACACTCACTGCGAAGGTCTGCAGCTTCACTCCTGGAGCCAGTGAGACCCCGAGCCCACCGGGAGGACCGAAGAACTTCAGATGCGCCGCGTTAAGAGCTGTAACACTCACCGCGAAGGTCTGCAGCTTCACTCCTGAGCCAGCGAGACCACGAACCCACCAGAAGGAAGAAACTCGGAACACATCCGAATATCAGTAGGAACAAACTCCGGACACGCCGCTTTTAAGAACTGTAACACTCACCTCGAGGGTCCGCGGCTTCATTCTTGAAGTCAGGGAGACCAAGAACCCCCCAATTCCGGACACAGGGGGACTTGGCTGCTTCCTGTTTCTATCATAGACGCAGCTGGCCTCAGAATATTCCACTTATGGATGAAAGAATGATAGTGTTATTTTATGGAAGAATTTAAGAAGATGTTGCGGTATCATCGACTTTGTAAGTGTGAAGTGTTTTTACTATTCCACTCACAATTCAGTTCAGGAAATATTTGATTTAGAAAGAGATTTACTACAATTTGCTGGGTTTTCCCAAATAACCCTCTTGACAATTATTAATATCTTAGGCTTAGCAACTCACTCAAATAGACTAAAATAGACTGAATATTTGCTTAGGCCTTCTTAACATATTTCAGACATATTTTTCTCTTCTTGGTCTTCCTCAGTAACATCTGGTGATCTCCAAATCAAGAGATAAGAGAAACCAAGCATGCCTGGAAGAGACGTTTCTTAAAGGTCACCTACAGATCAATACCCACAAAAAGCAAACCACAAATTAATGGAAAGGCATGACAGAAATCATTGCCTTTCTCATTAGGCCCTCTGCCAACTGCCTGTTACGTATTAGATCCACCCTGATTTATTCTAAGCCCTAGACTGCATAGGCTGGTGCTTATTGTCATGGTCATTATAAGCCATTATTATTCATTCCTAGAGTGCAAATGAGCTTCTTATCCTTTAATTCTTCCCTAGGAAAGCACCCCAAGGGAACCATAATTTGCAAAAAATTGGCCTCCTGATTTCTTTTTGCCTAATGAGTTTAATTTTCGGCTTTGAAAAGGAGAAAGCTAAAGGGACTTGAAACCTACAATGTTAATTCTAATTGATCACTTCAAAGACCTTTTACATTCATAGATGACTGAATCTCAGGTTCAGAAAGTGTCTTAACGGTCTTCTACTCAAGGCACACTAGACTCAGGAGACTGCTGTGAGAAAGAAAAAGAAATCTAGCTTATCTGTCTGTGGGAGATGCTAGAAACAGGGAAACATGAAGGCATAAATAAACAGAGATGTTCCAAGCCTTTTTGAGATCAATATATTTTACTCAGGAAATCTTTATAAAAATGCATTTCTTTGTAAAGATCCTGAAAGATTTATTTCTTGGGTATTACAAGTGAACTGGTTAGTGAAGTATTAAGAAATAGGTGATCCACAGCTTAATAGAAATATTGAACCTCCTAAAATGTCATAGAGAAAAACAGTTTAAGGTTAAGGGTGAAGTGACAGATGTTGCACTATGGCAACTTTGATTATAAAATTATTTATTTATGTTTTGTGAGATTTTCATTTGCCAAACTGCTGATTCTTGAAAACTGGCATAATTCCAATATTTTCCTTAAGAAACTGAAACCGTTTTTGTTCTTTTTCCCATCTTTGGAGGAAGTCCTCTTAAAATGTAGAATTCATATTAATGTAACAGTCTGCAATGTCTGCTCAATTCATCGTAGCCCTGTGATGAAATACTCCGGATGTATAGGAATTACCATCATTGACTTCTAGGTTTTATTTGACAGAAAATTCAAGGAGAAGCTGGAATACTTTGTCTCTTTAGCAGTTATATGCTTGGCCTTTCATAACTATGACTAATACATATACAGTCATGTGTTGCACAATGACATGCTGGTCAATGATGGGCTGTATAAACAATGGTGGTACCATAAGATTATAATGATGCCAAGAAATTCCTATTGCCTAGTGACGTTCCAGTGTTGAGAGAAAGAAGCCCCTTTCCAGACCCCAAAAGGGGATTCTTGGATCTTGTGCAAGAAAAGAATTAGGAGTGAGTTCACAGAGCAAAGTAAAAGCAAGTTTATTAAGAAAGCAAGGAATGAAAGAATAGCTACTCCATAGACAGAGCAGGGCATTCCCAGAAGCAAGAGGAGGAACACATCCACATTAGGTACAATGCTTGTTTGCACTAAGGTAAGAAAACAAAATATCGTGGAAGAGAGGTGCTCTGTTACAAGGGCTGTGACAAAAAGATTGTTAATCGGTGTATAACTACTGTCTTAATAGTCTATATTTTTATCTTTGAAGTGAAACTTATTCTTAAACTAAGAATGCTTTTGTTCTTAAGATACTGGGACATCAGGACATTTCCCGGGTCTGTTATTTCCTGCCAGACCCAGGACTTAACAGACCCAGGATATAACAGACCCAACTGTAGATATCCTGTGACTAAGAATGCCAACCTCCTGGGAAAGCAACCCAGTAGGTCTCAGCCTCATTTTACCCAGCCGCTTTTCAAGATGGAGTCACTGTGGTTTGAATGCCTCTGATAGTAGCATAACGCATTATTCATATGTCTGTGCTGATGCTGGTGTAAACAAACCTCCTGCACTGCCAGTTGTATAAAAGTAAAGCACATACATTATGTATAGTACATAATATTTGATAATGATAATAAACAACTGTTATTGGTTTCTGTAAGTACTGTAATTGTACTTGTTATTTTACAGTGTACTCCTATATATATATACATATATATATATGTAAATTAAATGTAAAGCAGCTTTAGGCAGGTCCTTCAGGAGGTATTCCAGAGGAAGCTATGGTTACAGGAGATGACAGCTCCATGCATGTTATTGCCCATGGAAATCTTCTAGTAGGACAAGATGTGGAGGTGGAAGATAGTGATATTGATGATCCTGATCCCGTGTAGCCCTAGGCTAATGTATGTGTTTGTGTCTTAGTTTTTAACAAAACATTTTAAAAAGTAAAAATTAAGAATTTTAAAAATAGGAAAAGCTTGTAGAATAAAGATGTAAAAAATTTTTTACAACCGTACAATGCATTTGTGTTTTAAGCTAAATGTTACTATGTGAGTCAAAAAAGTTTAAAAACTTAAGAAATTTATGAATAAAAAAGTTACAGTAAGTTAAGATTAATTATTATTAAAGAAAGAAAAATTTCTAAAAATAAGTTTGGTGTAACCAAAGTGTACAATATTTATAAAGTCTACAGTAGTTTAGAGTAATGGCCTAGGCCTTCACATTTATGCACCGCGCGCTCATTGATTCACCCAGAGTAACTTCCAGTCCTTCAAGCTCCATTCATAGTAAGTGCCCTGTATATGTGTACCATTTTTTATCTTTTGTATTGTATTTTTACTGTACTGTTTCTGTGTTTAGGAATGTCAGTACCCACCAGTGTATTACAACTGCCTGTAGTATTCAGTACAGTAACATGCTGTACAGGTTTGTAGCCTAGGAGCAATAGGCTATACCAACTAGCCTAGGTGTGTAGTAGGTTATACCATCAAGGTTGTATAAGTACACTCTAGGATGTTCACAAAATGACAAAAATGCCTAGCAACACATTTCTCAGAATGTTTCCCTGTTGTTAAGCGACTCATGACTGCATTTTAAATTTAGAGCATCTTTTCTGAAGAAAATGGTTTAGGAAATATATAGTCAGAATATGTCATTTTAGGGGACTGTTCTACCCCTAACAGTGTTTTAGGATTATCTTTAATCTTTTCCTGTGATCCAACCCCATATTTCTTCAATCAAACAAAATTATATCTAAACATACTATCTGTATATTTAGAGCTCTTGTCTTGCTTTGTTTAATTGCTTGTACATGAAAATGTCTTCATTTATTTTTTGTTTCAATAGCTTTCTAGTTTATTTTGTTTTAATAGACTTCTAGTTGATTAGCCAGTGCTTCAAGATAGCAAGGCTAGGTTTCTATACTGCCAGCTACAATTATTTGAATCTCTTCTACACTCTTTCTCATGGTTCTTTACATTGCAGTCTCAAATTTACCTGCAGATAACCACTTTATATCTCCATTTTTGACCTTCTTGTTTGTAATGGCTAATTTTATGTGTCAGCTTGACTGGGCCATGGGATGCCCAGATAGCTGGTTAAAGATTATTTCTGCATGTGTCTTTGAGGACATTTCTGGAAGAGGCTGGTGTTTGAATCAGTGGACTGAGTAAAGCAGATGTTCTCTCCCAGTGTGGGTGGGCATTATCAAAACCATTCAGGGCCTGAATAGAACAAAAAGGCAGAGGAAGTTTGAATTTGCTCTCTGCCTGACTCCTTGAGCTTGGAATGGATCTACTCCTCTCAGCACTCCTAGTTCTCAGCCTTCAGGCCCACGTTGGATTCTATACCATGGCCCTCCAGCTTTCAGGCCTTCCTTCAAAAAACACCACTGTCTTTCCTGCATCTCTTAGATTGTGGGATTTCTCCACCTCTATCATTGTGTGAGATAATACTTTAAAATAAAATCTCTTTATATATTGGTTCTGTTTCTCTGGGGAACCCTGAATAATACATTCTTTACCTCGTATTCATAGAGTAAAAGTTAAGTGTTCATCTACCTTTGGACTAATTTCTCATGTACAATTTCTATTAACTTACCATTAAGTGTTCCAATCCTAAGTGACTGAATTCTTTTCGCCAGATATATTCTGAGCCCATACTAGGTATGAAGCATCAGACTAGGCTCTGGTAGAAGATTTAATGGAGACAATGCCATTTAAACAGGTCTTCAGGGATGAGTAGAATTTGATGGCAGATTTTTTGCTGGGAAAGTTCCTTGGGTGAGGGTAACAATTAAAGCAAAGTCATGTCAGTGGAAAAGTCTTCAGACTATGTTGGGGAACAGCCAATAAACTAGACAAATGGGAGTACAGGATTTATGAAGGGGAATAATAAGTAAAAATACTGGAATAACAGGTTTAGGCCAGGTTGTGGAGTGTGTACGTGTGTGTATTTGTAATTTTTAAAAGCACATATAAGCAAAAACTAGTAAACAAATAAATGCAAAAATTAAAGGAATCTTTACTTATAAAAAGTTGCAAGCTTAATACATATAACTTTTATTTTCTTCAATCATTAGAAAGTAACTTGCAGACCTGATAGCCTATGATCACAAGTACTTTGTTATGCATTTCATATAAAAAAAGGACTTTCCCTTATACAACCATTCAATCATCCAAATATGGAAATAAATACCACTATTTAGCTAATCCTTAGACTTCATTCAGATTTTCCCAGTTATCCCAACAATGTACTATATAGTGAAAGGATGCTGCTTAAAATCAGATTCTTTTGGGTATTTCTGAGTATTTCAGACACTCACATGTTCTGAGTGTTTCAAGCTACCAAGAATTTTTTTCTATAAGGACACTGCTTGTACACCTATGGAGATAATAGCCCCATTTGGGGTCTGTGTGCAGTGGGCTAAGAAGGAATTGTTAGACTTGTTCCTGAGAGCCTCATTTTGGCTCAGATCACTCCAGCATTGTGTTCCCAGTATATCACAAAAATTTCTCTGTAAAATCAATGTTTTTTTTCTTGTAGGAATTTTATCTTAATAACTTTTATAGGAGACCATGAGGTCTCGACTAGACAACAAAGTGAGGACATTCTGAGTGGTATTTGGCATCTCTCCTCCGAAGCCAGGTAATGCAGTCTTTCTCAGGAGGCTGTCCAGGTGGGCTCTTGGTCAGCTCCATGGGTCTTCCAGATGAGTCCATGTGTCTAAACGCTCATGATGACAATGCAGAAAATCTCCACTCTTCTTCACTAGAGCACATTTGAATTGTCTGGAGAAAAGTTTTGAAATTTTAAGCTATCTGGCTTATAACTTGTATTTAACCCAAACTGTGGAATAGAAATACAGTCATGGAATTATGCTGAAGAAAAGAATGTAAGGAATGTTCTCTATTACCTTAATTCCCCTTACTCCAGGGTTCCACAGGCCTATGCAGGACTCAACCTTAGTGTTGATCTTGATTGGTCTGTGGTCTACCCACAAACAGATGTTCACCTGGCAGCAGACAACAGAGGTGGGGAACCTCCCACCATAACATCTACGTTTACTAAAGCAGGGTCCCATGAGGGCTTTTGTCAGGGCTGAAGTCATTCTGTGTAGTTTGGTTAGACTTCAGATCATTCAAGTTTTCTCTTTTAATTATAGGAATATTTTAATCATATTACAGTACATTTTTAGGTCAGAAAATGATTTTCATTTCATTGTCAAGGCAATTTGTGATAAAAATTGAAATAATGCCCAGCATGATTTAAAATTTTAACTCTTAAAATCTTTGAGTTCTAATAATACTGAGTTAAATAAATTTCAAAGCTGTGTGGGTCTCCATGTTGTGGATACACCTGGCTATGATATCTCTATTACTGTATTTTTCATGATCTTATATATTTCCTTACTTTCATCTGATTTGGGTGGAAGATGGAGCTAGAAGCATCAAAAGTTACATAGTGGAATTTTATCAGACTCTGTGGCTGTCTCCTCTTAGTGCCTCATTAGGGAAGATGTAGCTTTTTTGAAGCTGGCTGCAAAGCATCATGCCGATTCCCTGCTGGCATGGTTGGATCATGGCAAGGAGAGGAAGAAAAGCAAAGGAAAATTACTGGTGACCCAAAGCTGTTGTGACATTCAGGGAAAAAAAGAAAATTGTCCCAATGGGACCTTTGTAACTGAACTCCAAGGTTTGTAGACTTATGTTTCAATAACATTGGATTCACCTTTCAAAGTATATTGTTATTTTAAAAACACAAATGTGAAACATAAGCCTCTACATATGTTTATAAAACATATAAACACTAATATAGAAAAGAGGAATGAGAATATTTCCATTTTATCTATGTTGCAAGTGGGAGAGGTGCTTCATTGGGATTTATAAAGGGAAGTTTAAAGAGTAGATTTTCCAGTGTTGCTTGCCAGGCTCTTCTTTCAGGAAACGTCCTTCCGTCATCTCAAACAAGAGTTCCCTGTTCCCAACCTTTGACATTTACTGGTAGAATGTTTGGTCATCACAGTAGAACACAATGTTTACTTTGTTAAAAGGAAATTTATCACTTATTTTATTAGTTTTGGATGACGCTTGTGGATAAAGGGCAATTCCTTATAAAAGTGATAACAATGTAATTCCATAGGTGTATAGTAATGGTTTGATCTTTAAAATGCATGCTAAATTGTTTTACTAAATTCTATTGAATTCTTTTTTTAATTTTTTTTCGTGTGTGTGTGTGTATGGAGACGGGGTCTCGCTATGTTGCCAGAGCTGTTCTCAAACTCCTGAGCTCAAGCGATCCTCCTGCCTTGGCCTCCCAAAGTGCTGGGATTGCAGGCATGAGCCACCATGCCCAGTTGACTTATTTTTTTTTTTAAGTCATACCAAAAAGGAAAAATCACATGTTAAATAGAGTGAAATCTATTATAGCAGACATTCGTATTACTTAAGTTCTAGTTGGGCCATAGAATTCTTTCCCTGCACATCACTTGATATAGCAAAGTAGGAGATACTTGATATCTCATATCTTACATGGTTTCTAGTCCATCAGAATATCACCATGTCGTTTTCAAATGGTATCTCCAAGAGGCATATTTCTGCTTGGTATTATTGAATGTCCCTGGGGTTAAAAATTTAGGTATAGTGAATTAAAGCTTCTCTAAGTCAGATTTCCATTTCCTGTGAAATAAAGATAATAATTGTTAGGTCCACTCCAGAGATTTGTAGTGATGGTCAGATGAGAAAATGTCTACAACATTAATTTATAAATGTGTTAGCATTATACAAATTTGCAGGATTGTTATTATTACTATTTAGATTCATAATTACTTGGTTTCTTTTTTCTATAAAAATGAAAACTAGACAAAACCAGTAATTTAGTATCTGTGCATTAAGTTAGTCACAAATTTGGCACAGTCCCTCTTTCGTGTTCACAGTCCATGCATGCAAGGATGACCAATGGTAGTGCTTGGATGCGGCCATATTGGGTGTTAAGAAAGGCAGCAAAGAAGTAGCTAGTTCTTCAGGTCACATCCCTTAGCTGGCAAGTAATAGCATTATGTGCATCTTTCCCATAGAAATTGAAACTGGGTTTTTAGAAAATATGGGACATGAAGTTTTATTTTGGAAGAGACATTTTTATTCTAGAGAAAGCCTATGCATGTTACATTATTCCATTTCCCTTTACTTTCTTCATTTTAGGGGAAAATCTGTCAAATGAATTCTAAGTATACTAGGTAGATTTTGAACTTTCTTTTTGAGTCCTTAAACCTTGATAGCTCTGTTAGCAACTAACTTTAAGACTTTCAGACTTTTTTAGTCTTAAAGTCATTCAATGAGAAGGACATCTCAAAAAGCAGCTTTGGAAGATGTTAACATATATCTCTGCTGGTAGAAGCAAATAATTCAAGACTGAAAATGTACCTCCCTACTCAATCTTTAAGGAAGCCAATCCCATTCCTGTGTAATTTACTTATATCTTTGGAGTATTTATTATTTCTCTGCTGGCTACCTGTGGAAGGAGCAACAGGGGAGCATGAGAGAAATATATAGCATACTTTAGATCTCAAGGGACTGAGAGTTTTAGTATTTTTCAAGATGTATATTAGCAGTGTGAAACAGAGGACCATAGAAAGTGATATGTAACAAAATATTTAATTGAGTGTTTTAAAGGAAAACCAGAGCTGGATAGTAAAGGAGTTCATTTGGGAACTGTTGAGACTTCAGTGTCGAACTGGGCTCAATTCTGAAAACAGCATGGGCAAGAGGGGATTTATAGTTAAGGATCAGGTTGGGGGTCAATGGATGAAAAATTACAAAGAGGAAACATCAGAAGTTGGGGATTCTGATTAAACAAACCTAACAGGATTCTCACCAGAGGGAGGCAAGGGTGATCAGATCTGGAAGGTGTGTGAAGGATGAGGAACTTGATCAGATACCAAGGGTGATCAGGCCAGGGGTGGTGGTTCAGGTCTGTAATCCATTACTTTGGGAGGCAGAGGCGGGTGGATCACCTGAGGTCAGGAGTTCAAGACAAGCCTGACTAAGATGGTGAAACCCCATCTGTACTAAAAATACAAAAACTAGCCAGGTGTGGTAGTGCGTGCCTCTACTCCCAGCTACTCAGGAGGCTGAGGCAGGAGAATCGCTTGAATCCAGGAGTCAGAGGTTGCAGTGAGCTCAGATCACAGCACTGTGCTCCAGCCTGAGCAACAGAGTGAGACTCTGTCTCAAAAGAAAAAAAAAAAAAGAAGAAAGATACTGAGGGTGATCAGATATTAAGGATGGGGGATGCTTGCTAAACTGACTTAGGACTTCTGCTAAAATAGCACAATGCAGAGACAGAAAATTCCACAGGTTGAAACTTAGTTGGGTATAGGGTTCAGAGGAGACTGACTAAAGTTTGGACAAGGAGCATATCTTGTCAATACAACCAGGTGCTGATTTGTAACTTATATGCAATTTGTAATAGAACAGCTGCCTATGTAGGGGCTGTTTTGATCTAAATTATACAATAATTGAAACTTGATTCAATTGGTGACCTTCCCTACTATCAATATTTTACATAAATACTTTTTTTCTGTTCCATCACTACTCTTCACTCTTACTTGGGTTTTTAAATGACCAGAATGAGCCATACAATAATACTGATATAATTGCTAACACTTTGCTCTCACCACCACCTCCTCATCCTTCTCTCTTCCTGTACCTCCTTTTCCTCCTTTTTTGATAGACTTTTTTTTTTCAGTCTTATAACATCAAAATTGGAAAATAGGAAACTGAAAACCTTTACACACTTAAGTCAATTCCTAGAATTTTAATAAAGTGATAGTTCTGGATGTTTCTAAAACTATTCAGTGAAATACAAAAATGCTACTGCTGAGATTTTGTTTTCATTAAATCTTTTCTGAAATTGCTTATATTACGTGAACAAATAAAATTGTCCTACTGTATGATAAAGGCAAAGTAATACTGGCAGAATTGCAGGCTTGTGAGTCCAATTTTTAAATTAGACAAGAGGAAAAAAGCTTCCTGAATTTGCAATGAATGTATATCATTATTCTTCATGTTCCATTTCTTTCTTCATTTATCCTAGTACCTCTTGAGAATCTTCAGATTCTTGCTTTTCTTTTTTTCTTACTGTAAAACAGCATGTCCCATATTTCAAAGAGGCTTTTTGTAGGATAATTTAAAACTTATTTTTTTCCAAGGGGATGGTGAATCCATTTGTGCTTTCTCTATTCAGTTTATCTCTTGTTTACAGGTTTATGGAAAATGAGATTATCACAATTTATATTATAGTTTCCTTAGATGACCAGCAGAAGTTCTTTACTGACTTAGTAATGGCAAATGGACAGGTTGAGCTGAACCAACAGTTGGGAGAAACCAAACAGTTTCTAGGTCATTCTTGATTTATGGATTAGGTTGTAAAATGACTAAGCTTTACATTTTAATACGTGTGTATAATATTAATTTCACAATGAAAAATTTTCAGGATTTTTGTGAATTACTTAAAATTAATCTTCCTAATTAATTTACATAATATGATTTTCTAAAGAGTAACAATCAGAAGAGGCTAAGAATTTCATACTTTTATAGGCGAGTGGAAGAGATAGCCTTTCCTCCATTTATTTACATCATATTATCATTTACTTGGAAAGGACAAGATCTTGACTTTCTGCATTCAGGGCTTATTTCTTCTAATAAACTTCCTAAAGATCAACTCCTAATTTTTTAGGGACTGTAATTTATATCACAGAATTAGCATTTTTTCAGATAGTTTCTTGTTTTCTAATTTTACTATATAATTGGCTGAATCATATAATAAATGCTGTGATTACCACACTTGGTCTTAGCCAAAAGGCCAAGAAGCGATATGATTACTAATTCTGTAAAACTGTTAATGCCTTCATGAATTATTTCATCTTTGATGTATGCTTATGTTTCTACCATGTTTAAAATTTCCTATTTGTTTCTTTGTTGTGTGTTGAGACAGTAACAATTAAGTACTAAAAAAACTTATGGATTAGTAAGCTATGAATCTACCTAGTGTGAAAATGACAGAGTCACTATACTTTTAGAAATAATAATAGCACTAGGTTCCAGATTCTGTAAGGGCAGGGAAAATGTCTACTGTATTTGCATTTGTTCTTAAACCCTTTAAGAAACCCTTAAGAAAGGTTTTCAGAACTCAAAGCGTTTTTGTTTAAAGGACTTTATTAATCAATGTAACCTTGTCTACACTGTTACTTCAGAATTCAGAATATTAAAGGAATAAGTAATTTAAAAACTACTAGTATTTCTTAATTAAATTTGATATTTTAGTGGACATCAAAAGCTTTTTGCATAATATTTTCTTGGGAAATATCGTATCCACAAACAAAAACATATGTACAGGTATCAGTCACATTTGCCTAGGAACATCAATGAGGCTGGCATTCTAGGTTTGTTTTGTCTTATGTTGAAATCAGCATTAATCTCTTTTTTTGAAGTTACTATTTTTGAGTAAAGAATTTAGAAATTAATTAAAATAGGTATGTGTTTGAACTACTAGAGCAACATTGTGATTTTATGGGGAAAATACCATTAAATTAAGTGAAGGGACCTTGCTTTTCCGGATACTTCACACTGTCTGTTTAATGAATAACCCATTCAGATTTAATTTATACCTGCTGTGTTGTGGTATAACAATGAACCATTATATCTCCAAAGCATGAAGTTAATGAAATAATACCTATCTGGAGTTGGATATTACACACACACAGATTCTTTCTCTTGTTTAAAGCTAATTAACATGAAAGACAATTTGACCACTTTAAATGAAAAAAGAAGAAAATGAGAATGATGTGTCCACAGTGAGGCAGGCAATGGAAAGTTTAGCTATGAAAGAAAAGTTGAACAAGTACAAGCCACATACACTTTTCAAATTATTCTAGCTTTGAGAAAAGAAATATCTTTTCAGAGAATCTTTAAACTATGTAGTATCAGCTTAAACGATCTGTTATTCATATAGGTTCAACCTAATTCTCTACTACATCATGTATATGAAACCTATTATATTATTAGTATAGTAAGTGTGGGAAGAAATCTATGAAGAAAGTGAAGCAAGTGATTAAAACAATGTTTAAATGTGTATGAACACTTCTCAAAGAAGCTGTCCATAGCTGGGTGGTAGTAGGGGCCTTATTTGGATAGCATCCTTGGAAAGGTGGAGATTGAGAAACAGTCACAGAAGTTTTATTTCTATGAGTCCTTTATTTTGGAACTGATAAGACTCTTCCTAATGAAGAGTTAAGACAGAGCTTCCTCAGCCTCTGAAATCTGGAACACCTCAACAGTCATGCGGAGACAAGAGATTACCCCAAAATGTTTCACATTCTTTCACAGAAAGAAGCTAAAACTAAGAATGAAAATCCTGGGCCGGGCGCGGTGGCTCACGCCTGTAATCCCCGCACTTGGGGAGGCCAAGGCGGGTGGATCACGAGGTCAGGAGATCGAGACCATCCTGGCTAACACGGTGAAACCCCGTCTCTACTAAAAAAAAATATAAAAAATTAGCTGGGCGTAGTGGCGGACTCCTGTAGTCCCAGCTACTCAGGAGGCTGAGGCAGGAGAATGGCGTGAACCCGGGAGGCGGAGCTTGCAGTGACCCGAGATCGCGCCACTGCACTCTAGCCTGGGCGACAGAGCGAGACTCCATCTCAAAAGAAATAGAAAATCTTTTGGGAAGTCCAGAGAGTTGTAACCTCCCATAGTGGGGAACAAAAATGTCACCTGGGAGCCAATGTTAATGCTAGATTTCTGCACCCTACTGCAGAGATTCTAACTCAGTAGTTCTAGGCCAGGAATTGATATGTCAAGGGGTTCTGACATATCAATTCACTACTCTGAGAAACTCTGACCTAGAAACAAAACTGAGGTGGTCAAAATAACTTTGCATACTATCCAACCCTGATCAAAATTTATAAACTTTATGATGGAAAAATGTTGTTCTCCAAATTCTGTTGCTCCCGCTCCAAATGACAGAATTAAGAGAAGCTAGTGATAGCAGCGGTATGGAAGTGGTAAATGAGGCTATAAGACTACATCTGGAGATAAAGCATATGGCAGTTGAAGAGTGGGAAACACCATCATGAATTCACAGAAAAGTCAGGGTACCTGGTAGATTAGGGCTCTAATAATAAATGTTAGGTGGGTACTTGGCGCAAAATATTTGAAGTTTTTACCCTATTGCATAGTGGTCTCAGGTTTGATATGGCCTACAGAAAATTTACCTTTGAAAGCACTTGAAGGATATGATATTTTGTTTGTTTTAGGAAATGGAAGTTAGTGTATGTAGAAAGCCTTCTTGAATTGTCACAAAGAAGTGGAACTATATTAAATTCTATGCACAACATTTTCATAGTATGACCTTGGCTGCTTCTCTCTAAAATGCACTTAATTCACAAGTTTAAAAATATTACCTGCATATCATTTGTCAAATAAATCTTCTTACTTTGACATTATCATCCCATATACTTTCATAATGTTGCCTTTTATTTTTTTAATATGCAATATACTTTTTATTTTGAAATAGATTCGTAGAAAAGTTTTAAAGATAGAATGGGGAGTCCCATATACGTCTCACCCAGTTTCTCCTATTGTTAACATCTTATACGATCAGGGCACATTTGCCAAAACTAAGAAACCACTGGTACATTACTGTTACTTCAAGGTAATAGTACTAGTTTTTTTCACCAATTATTTTCTGATCTAAGACCCAATCCAGGATACCTAGATAGTATTTGATGATGATGTCAATTGTTTGGAAGCAACTCCTAAATCCATTCCACACTAAAGGGATCAATCGGGAATTAAGCTCCACCTTTTGGAGGGGAGAGTAACTACATAAATTATTTAGAATTCTTCTTTAAGAAAGATTTGTCTCTTCTGCCCCCATTTGTTTATTTATTCAGTCATTTATTTACATCAGTATGGACTCATGGGTATTTACTTTGTACTTTGGATTATAATCTAGTACTGAGTTAATTACGTTGTTGTTCAAATTGTTCCAGTTTTAATCATTGTGACCTCTTTTAGGTTGGCTTTTGGGTCCTTTGACATGCCCCATTACTTCCTACTTTCTGGCACTACAAGATGTTTCAGGCTCATGTTGTATTTGCCTGCCCCATTCATAGGATCAGTTGCCTTTGGTTTTTAGCCTCAAAGAAGACAGAAAGTAAATGTATTTGGTTTCCTATGGACAATACCTTGTGTAATATTATGAATGCTTATGGTGATACTTACGTTTATAAGGCCAAGAACAAAATAGGATCTAATTAGGTTCATTTCCTATTAGGACAATATGAAACAAATACTCCTATCTGGCCTGAAGGCATTACTAGGAAAGTGATAAAGGTGACACTTTAGAATGGATTTTACCTTTTCTTTGTCATTTCTCATCAATATGTAGAAACAGTTTTGAGAGAACACTGTGGAGAAGGGTGGCTGTTTCACCACTTAGCACACACAAACTTAGGCATGGCCTTGTTCTTTGCTCTTTTCAGCCACCTTAGTTTCCAGAGTAAATAACATTGGCCCCAGACTTAAAGCAGTGAAGAATTATCTTCGTCAACAGATAAAGATGAATAGTTTATTGCCTTTTTCTTACTCCTTCCCATCTCTCCCTCTATTGCTTGATTAACATGTACTAAAAATTCTGGTGCTCCTATTATTTTAACCAACAAATGCATGGATTATCTTCTTATATCCATCTTTTTTATATTCTTTATTATCTTTTTCACTGTTGTTGTATCCAAAACAATGAGATTAGTCCAAAAATTCTTTCTATCCTCTGGTACAGCTGGAAATTAGCTTGCTAGCTGTTTGCCTCCTTTTTCCTTCTTAATGAATAGAGGATGTACTGTCCAACAGGTAATGACTATACAGTGCAGGTTCGAGGGTGATGGTCCATTTAGAAGGCAGCTTACAGTTTTATTATAAATATAAATAGTTATTAGGAAAAACAAGCAAATGAACAAATGAGATAAAACATCTCTGAATGTGTCTCCTAAATGATCATACAACAAAGGCCTGCCCACAAAAGAAGGAATTTATACTGGAAAATTCACAGGGATTAGTAGTTTTATGCACATGTGTAGAAAGACATATCATCATCAAATTACATTCATGAAGCAAAAGTTCTGGATCTCCCCGAAGTGGAGCTCCTGAAATATTTAATTCTAATGCACAGTACTTGAAAGTGTCAGATACTTTTCCCCTAAAGCTTTGGTGTTGTCTAACCTTCTTTCAGTTATCTTGATTATTTTTTTGAATTTAGGCATAATTAGGTGGTTATACTAGACTGCAAGGTCTTTTTCAAATTATTGGAAAACCCAAACACAAAGAACAGATTGTCATTACTTTGATGCTGGTAAAAGTGGGTTTTAGTACTTAGAGAAATGGATTTTGTTTTGCTAAAAAGTCACTGGGGACACATGTCAGCAAAAAGAAAAGGAAACACATGCTGACTGTTTCCCCAGACAAGTGGTTTTCAAACTGGTACACATTAGAATCACTGGAGAGGTATGAAAAACTTCTGATGCCGGGGTAACAATATCTGCAGTGGGGTCCAGGCACTGGCATCTTTTAAGGCTTCCCAGGTGATTATAATGTGCATTCCATGTAATAAAACAATAATTTTCATATTTTAGTAAACATTTAAAATATCTGTATCATTTGTTAACAATACAGATTCTTGGGGCCAGCTCCAGTGTTCTCATTTCTTGATTAGGTGTGGAGTCCAGAAATCTATGTTTTAAAGGAATAAATCTTTAGGTGCTTGGTTCTTTGCATGATACTTTAGTCTTACTCCATAACTGCTTGTGATGCCAAAAAAGGCTCTGGCAGCAGCCCACCCCAGATTTGTACTGCTGCCTGGAGCTGGCCAAAGCTCTATGGAACTGTTTGGTTTTCTTTGCAAGCCCGGGATCTCTTTATTTCATGTACGTTGGCCACATATGCCTTTTCTCATCAGCTGTCTAGATACCTCATCGTTGAACATTCAGCTCCTATATTACCTAGCTTTAGAATTTCTGTATTGTTCAGGCTCCCCCTCTTCCTGTTCCTGTTCCCCTACAGCAATTGTAGCAATTATCTTACTGTTTTGTGAACCTTAGTATTCTTATCTGTGTCTTCTGTAAGACTTTACATTCCTTGAGATGACTAACCATGACTTGCTGATTGTAGTTGTAGTGCCTGCCTCAATTCCTTATAAATTGGCACCCCAAAACTTCAAGTCTGATAGGTAAAACATTATAAGAAATTGTACTGTGAGACATTCTAGCTCAAGGATAAATACAATACTCCATGAAAATACAGATATTTTTGTTCACCTACAAATTTAATTTATTCGTGACATTTCTTCTCTTTCCCCATAATTAGCATAAATAATTCAGAGGAGGCTATATTCTGTTTAACTGTGAATAAGAAGTTCACATGCTGTTGACTCAATATTCTAAGCTATTGGAGAGGAACAAAACTAGATAATCCAAAAATCACTTATATTTATGTTTGGAGTACATTTTGGCATTTCTTTTGGAATAAATGTGGTCGATGCTCTAGGAATTCCCAGTATTTCATACAAAAGATTGAAGGCACATCTGTAAGACCTGATTCTTCAGAAGCTAAAAGCTGTTCTCTGCTATTTAGCTCCTCCACAAGCTACTCATATGCCCCGCTTTTCCAAGGACTCCTCTGGGAATAAGAGAATAATATTGAAATTAAAAGGAACAAAAAGGGATTGGCATGTGTCATGTGCTGTGTGTTTTAATCTAGGACCCTTTCCCCTCGAATAGAGTGCTTTCTTATTTCTGACCCCAGGTAAAAGAACATTCTGTTTATGATAACAAAAGAGATAGTCAAGCAAAATAAGTTGTATTCATAAAATCTTGAAATCAATATAAAAGAATCAGGGGTAACTTCTAAGGATGATAAATTAGATTTATGTTTTCTCCACCATAAATATTGAGCCATTTGTAGTGGAACCTCCTTTTTTTCAGAAAGATTTTTAAGAACTCTAAAAATAGGAAAATTTAACTTTCTTCAAAGTAAACACTCTCAGTAGGAAAACACACTGAAAATTTACAAAATTCAGATTAGAATAAGTCATGATTTTTTTTAGAAGCATAAAATATGCTCATGGATATGTAAATGTGGTGGATTCTTTCCTATCATCTTCTATCTCTTTACGTGATATATTCCTTAGTATTGATAAAGTTTACAAAGCAGTCATTAAAATATTCTCTTTAAATCTCTGACTTTACTTGTTGATTTGACTGGTTGCTTCTCCAGTATTTGCTGTTTTCCTTCCCCACTGGGCAAAGCCAGGGGATCTGAGTAGGCAGAAGCTGAAGAGCACATTTATATTCTCTTTCTGACTGAGATTGGTTCAAGGATAAGAACTTGGCACAGGTTTGTCCACTCAGAGTAAAGCCCAAAACTTTTAGCCAATAGTTAGGGTGGCAAACATCTTCCTTTGGGACTGGAAGGAAGAGCATACATTACTCAAATTGCAGCTGATAATCGTTTTGTCACCAAGAGAAGACTTAGTCTTGGGATAAAGCTGACAGGGTCTTGGTGAAATGATTTAGTTATCAAATCAAATCACATCTGATTTGAGCCATTTCCTCCTATAGACTTTTGAGCTATTTTAACTCATTAATCATCTTATTGTGTACAACAATGTGAGCTGGATTTTCTGTTATTTGCAATGAAAAGACTATCATTTGCAACTTAGCAGATGATATGGTTTGGCTGTGTCACCACCTAAATCTCATCTTGAATTGTAACTCCCACAATTCCCACATATTGTGGGAGGGACCCAGTGGGAGGTAGTTAAATCATGGGGGCGGATCTCTCTCATTGTTCTTGCAATGGTGAGTGGGTCTCATGAGATCTGATGGTTTTAAAAAGGAGTTCCCCTGCACAAATTCTCTCTCTCTTTCTCTTTGCCTGCTGCCATCCATGTAAGATGTGACTTGCTCCTCCTTGCTTTCCGCCATGATTCTGAGACCTCCCCAGCCACATGGAACTTTAAGTCCATTAAATCTCTTTTTCTTCCCAGTCTTGGGTATGTCTTCATCAGCAGCCTGAAAACGGACTAATACAGTAGACTTGAGTACCTATGGCTGACATGTTTTTTCAAATGAAAGAGTAACAAATTGGTAATGTCAATATGTTACAGGAAAAAACAAAAACAAAACAGAACAAAAAACCAACAGCCTCCCAATAAAATATAATAGAATTTACATCTGTGGCATCATGTGTTTGAACCAGCCCTTATAAATGGAAACTAGTTTTTCTTGTTGCATTTTGCATTTCCTTCCCAATCATGACAGAATAAGAAAGTGTCACACAAAACTTGGATGGCCTATTTGGATGGGTAATTTTTAGATGATTTAGTTCTATCCCTTCATTTTATAGATGAAGAAACCAAACCTCAGTGAGATTGAATTGGACAAGAGCTGAGACAGATGTATCCATCTGACTTCTGATGTACCCTCTTTCCACTGTAGTATGAGGTCTACAGAAAGAAATTTAGAAACCAATGGCTGAATGAGGTAGATTGAAATATTGTTTTGTTCCCTTCCCTATAAGGGGATTATATCTCTTTGTCCTTGCCATGTCACTTTCAGTATCTCCCTCTACTTTCTCACTTTCAGCCCTAGGCTTGATCATGTGACTTCCTGAGGTAAATGTGAGTAGATGTGACAGAATTATGAAATGTAACTGTGTGAGGCATCCTGCTCTCATGCTATTATGACAAGTCCCAGATGGTGGCTGTTCTTTCGTCCTGGTCTTTGAATGAGAAAACCCATGGAGCAGTGCCTCCACCTGTAGCAGAACCGCAGCTGCATTTAACATGAATGGGCATGAAAAATGTATTGTAGGAAACCATTGAAACTTGAGAGGGTTTGTTACTGCAGCAAAGCTGATGAATACTATGAAAATCAGGAGTAATTATCCCATGTGGTATGAAGTAAGAAAGGAAGACATTGCTATGCATTTAGAACATACCCCTTGCTTTTCTTGGCACTTTGTCCATGGACATGATTGGTAATGCTTTTTCCTCCCAGAGTATTGCGAAAGGACAAAATACTTGTTGGTTTCATTCTTATGCCAATAACGTCTTACAGAAACTCGGTTCACTTACTTCATTATTTTATGTTAATTGTGAGGAAGGAGAAGAAATGGGATAAACAAATAAAGTTTACAGAAAAATAACAATATCTATATTAATATGGCAACTGAAGTCTAACCTGTGGCAGGGCATCAAGCTAATATATTACATATTTTCAAGTGTATCTTGCACTTGACTGTGAGCATTTAAGGAAGGCACTATACCTGCCTGGAAGAGCTAGGGAACTTCCCAGAGGGGTGATATAATTTGAATATTTGTCCTCTCCAAATCTCATGTTGAAATGTAATCCCCAGTGTTGGAGGTGGGGCCTGGTTGAAGATGTTTGGCTCATGGGGATGGACCCCTCATAAATGGTCTTGGTGCCCTCTCTGCAATAATGAGTTTATGTGAGATCTGGTTGTTTAGAGGAGGCTGGCACCTCTGCCACTCTCCCGTGCTGCCTCTTTTGCCATGTGATACATCAGCTCCCCCTTCACCTTCGGCCATAATTGTAAGCTTCCGGATGCCTCACCAGCAGCTGAGCAGATGCTGGCACCATGCCTGCACAGTCCACAGAACCATGAGCAAAATAAATCCTTATTTATAAATTATCCAGTCTCAAGTATTCCTTTATAGCAATGCAGAACAGACTAATACAGAAAATAAGAGTGTAATAGGTAATCCAAATGTCAAAAGATGTTAGGAAGTTATAAAGATGGGCTGAAGGGAGGTAACTTCCAGAGGGACCACTATATGCAAGGACAACGAGTCACCAAGAAGAAGTCACTTGTAGCTAACACAGAGGGCAAACGTGAGGAAGGAGCAGGTATGGGCCCAGCCACGGCTGACTCTGCTTATCATCCTGAGGGTCTGGCCCTCATGCTGTGCATAATAAAATGTCACTGAAGGAATACCATCAAGGTACTGCCATGGTCAGAATGTAGTTTTACAAATATTTCTTTATTCAGGGGAGAAGGAAGAAAATGAAACCTGGTAACACTGATATGGAGACTCGATAACAGCTATTTGTATTAGCGTGGATAAGAAATGTGAAGATCCTGCATTAAAGCAATGGCTGTGGGATAGATGAATTATTTAGATTTGTTATAAGGTGCACTCCACTGAATTTTGTGAGGGTTGTTTTAGAATAAGTCACTTTACCTAGGCAGATACATATATAGGAAAGTTTTGTCAGATATCTTAATAGGAAAAAAAGGGGAAACAGCCTAATGTAATGATTTTGGATTTGAGGCTAGGAGGGAGTAACATTTACTATCTCTCTGGTATTAATTATCAATCCTTTCTAAGTCTCAGTCTTCTTACCTGTATCTTGCGTATAATAAAGTACCTTTCTTGTAGGATTATAGTGACAATGAAATGAGATGGAGTTGGGGTTCAAGCAGGCTGGTGGGAAAAATATTAAAGATAGTTATATAACAGCCAAAAACTCTCTTGGGAAGCCCGAGAGTTTGCATAGCTTCAGATTGCTTGGCTGAAGGCAGCCAGGGTCTCTTTGCAGGAGTCGGAAAGATTAGGGTGCAAGTACAAAGGAATGTGGGAAGTTTATCTTACTAACCTGCTTACTTATACAGGTTTAAGACTAACCTTTCAAACTACCCCTACCTGTGGGTACTTGACGGCCTCCTACTGGGGGGCAGCAGTCTGCAGAAGTTTATCACCCGCAAATGGTGTTTGCTTTAGGCTCCGAACCTGGCCTTTAATCTTTACCCTCTAGTGGTGTTTACTCACAATTTTGTTAATTAGTCTTACTGAATAAATGCGAGCCTGACTAGCAGATGAGGGCTGAGTCACAACTGTTTACAGAACTCAGCTTGGAACCTGTAAGCTGCTCGGACCCTCAGCTGGACTGGCAGAGCAGAATATCTGTGTGTCAGTGTACTTTCTTCATCCATCGCCGAATCAGGGGTCTGCAGGAACAGACCCCCCTGCAGCTAGTGCCCCCGTGAAAAGAGCGCTGCCTCAAGATGGGACATGAAAATATTTAACCATTGACTCTGCCTAAAGGATGAATAATTTTTTGGTCATGTCTTTTTTTCCCCTGATTCTTATTAGTTCTGTAACATCAGTTGGGATAGACAATATGGAAGATTTCAGGTGAAAAAAGAAGAGGTAGACAAGTTTGATTGGAATATCTAGAATCTGATTGTCCTGTAAGATATCCAGATGGAATTATCTAAACAGGTAGTTGGCATTTCAAAATGGTCTCTGGTAAGTGATTAGCAGTTCAAAGTCTGAGAATGAGAAGAAAGTATAGTGGAGAAGTATAGGTCATATTAAAATTGATCCCACAGGTGTGAAAGATATTGCCGGAGAGAATGCATAGGAATCAGAAGGGTTAGGGGCCAGGAGCCAAGAAAGGAGGTGAGAAGGAGTAGCTGGACAGTGGGTGGTAATTAGCTTAATGTTCTGTAAAGCAAGCAAGAAATTTTTATAAGAAGGAATTTAATTATGGATAAACACTCCAGATAAGAGCATGTAATATGCTGAGAGGATGAAATATACTAGTTACAGAGACGTGGTGGAGGCGGAAGCTAGATATACTAAAGGGTGAATGAAAAGTGATTAAGGAGAGAACAGGAATGTAAGGTTGTTCTTTTAAGGCCCTGGAGTGTGAAGGCAAGAGGACTGCAAAGACTACTGGTTGCCTAGTCAATTTCAATTCTCAGTACCAGAATTCTTCTAATTTTGGTTACTGTAATATGATCAGTTTAAAATGACATTCCCAAGCCTCCTTGCAGTTGGGTGACTAATGAGATATAATGGCCACCCATTGGGTGGGCTTGGGCTTCCAAGAAAGCTCTTCAAAGGACTGACACAGCTGGGAGACATGTCCTTTTCCCCTCTCCTTTCTCTACCTTCCTGAAATGGAAATGAAATAGCTGAAGTCACAGCAACCATCTTGGGACCTTGTAAAAATGGTCAAGAGAATCTCAGATACTTTAGCATTAATATGCTTGAAGTCCTAAATCAATGGCATCAACTGTTTACTTCTATTATGTGAGATAAATATGTATTTTAAATCCCTGTGGTTGGCACTGTTTTTAGCAGCCAAATATAAACTGACAAAGTGTGATAGCTAGATGATATAAGGTTAAAAGAATATCTATATTCCTAGTCAAAGTAGTATCTTACAACTTCTTTGAGGTTATTTTTTAGATTGATTTACTATTTTTCCCTCAATAGGGAACATGGATAAATCACTTCACTGTCAGGTACTCTGTAGTAACCCAAAAAAATGTGCATCTTTTCACTCTTTCTTCTTATTCTCTCCATCCCCTTCTTTCCATCTTTCTTCTGTCTCCCCCTCTCCTACTTTCCTGATAGGTAAGATGCTTTCTGATAGATCAAGAGGTTAATAAACTTTGAATAATTGGATGTAAAGTGTTTGAACAATAAAATCTCTGCAGATAGGAAGATATTTAAGGGTTAGCTTAAAACATTGCACAGGAAATATAATGATGTTATTATTTTTCCAACAAGCAAGCTGTTTTGGTCTTGTAAGCAAATTAAGTGATATTCACCAGCTAAGAGGGTTCAGGCATCTCAGCCCACCAGGAGAACAGGGAGGCCCCTCATGCGCAGGCATACAGATACGATGCACCACACAGAGGGAATAAGCCATGCCTTGTGATAAGAACAGAGCATCAGACATTTGCTAAATGCTATTTGACAGGAGAAAAAAAGTAATCATTGTTACCGTGGAAGACTGTTCAAAGTCACTGAGCAAAACTTCAGTGATTTCAAATCCAGAGACTGAACATGTTCTACAACTAGGGATAAGCATGCTGTTAAACCTTCAAACAACACCCCTGTGGAGGGCAGCTTGGGATACAGAGTTGAGCTGCCATAAACTGGACAGAGAAGGAAAGGGAATCATCTACATCAACAGGAGAAACAATTATCTTAGCCATCCACCTGGCTAGTCAGTTTTTCCAGCTGTTTAGTAAGGAGAAACTGCTTTATGCTATTTGTGATTATTAAAAATTATAGTTGTTTTAATTCTCATTCCATCTTGTGGGATCAATAATTTCAGTTAATTCTTATGTCCCAGATTAAAGATTGAGATGGAATTATCTAGTAGGTAGTTGGCAATTCAAAATGGTGCATAGTCGGTCATTACTAGATAGCATTTTGAATTACCATATCTTCAGGTCTTGAGATATTTAGCTATCTAGAGTTCATCAACCTACCCGATGCCTATTCAGATCTCCTACTGAGAGGAAGCAGGCAACGAAATCTTTTAAAGAATGGTTCTTTAAGAAGACATATATTTGGTCTAAATGTGTCAAAGGTGAGCTGTTACACTCATAGATTTATATTAAATATAAACTTCTTTTATTTTTCTGGTGATATATTGCCTAGGGATTGTGCTTATCGTAAGGTCCCAGCAAATGAAAAGGAAAGACATTGACTGGGAGAAAATATTTTCAACATATATCTGACAAAGGAGAGGAATTATGCCCCAGGAACAGTACTTAACAGATTACACCCTGGAACTTCATTTATGGCTGGGTCCGATTTCAGTGATTTTGGGCTAATGCTGTAATGGGCCTTTGAGCTGATGCTATAATGGGATGAGACTCTTGGAAACTTTTAAAAGGGGTTACCAGGAAGCATATGAACAGATGACGCTCATCACTGGTCATCAAGAAAAGGCAAATTAAAACCACATTGAAATACTGTTATATACTCACTAAAAGGGACAAAATTAAAAAGACTAACACCGTGTTTTGGGGAAGATGGAGGCAACTGGAAATCTTGTAAAATATACAATGACTCAAACACTTAAGAAACAAATTTGGCTGATTCTTATAACGTTAAACCATTAATACTTACCATATGCCCCAGCAGTCCCACTCTTATGTATTTACCTAGAGAAATGAAAGCACATGTTTACACAAAGAGCTGCCATAAATGTTCACAGCAGCTTTATTTGTAATAGCTCCAAATTGGAAACAATGCTGATGTCCAGCAGCAGGTGAATGGGTAAACTAACTTGGTAATCCTACAATGGGATACTACACCCAGCCAGCAGCCGAGCACAGAGGATGTACTGATTAAGGCCCATTCCTAAGAGACACAGGACTCCTCCAGTGGGAGACTGCCTTGAGGACACCCCCTCAGCCTAACCAAACCTTTCTTGGAATTGCACTGCAGTCTAAGCCTTTTTTTTTTAACCTCCTTATCCTGCCTTCTTCCTTTCTTTTGCAGGTGTTGGAACTGCATACTGTGTAGACTCTCCAGGTCTTCTCAGGATTCTCTTCCCTTTATTTTTCACAGCATTTTCCCTACATCTGTTTCATGGCTAATCCTTTCTCGACATCTGCTTCCCAGAATACTCAGATTAACAAAATTGTTGCCTGGGGCTGAAGTGGGAGTATGGGACTTTTTTGGGTGATGGAAAAATGTTTTATATCTTTGTCATTGCAGTGGTTACATACATATATTCATTATCAAAACTTATTGAAATGTACACTTAAAGGGGGTATATTTTGTTCATCAGTAAAAATGATTTAAAGCAAAACATAATCTCAAATGCTGCCTATGACTTGCTGGTCAGGGCAGATACTGGCCAGGTAACATTTAATGTCCAGATTGCAAAGGCAGAGGAGATAAAGAATCTGTATGGTACAGTATTGGCAAAAACAGTCTTCACTCATTTAGGAGTTGCATTTAGAAATCTTTAGGAATCATAAATCTCCTTTTAAGGATAAGCTGATACCATTAGGTCACTATGGTGACTTACTTGTAAGTGGGCATAAAATGGTTAAGTAATAAATGTCCAGGTGGTTGTAGCAGGAACAATATTTGAAGGAGACAGAGACATTTCCGTTAAGTAATGACTTCTTAAAAAGGAGATAAGATTTTCAAGGTAGTTTTTAATCTGAATTTTTTTTCTTCATAAATCTGGAATGATCTCTAAATTCTTACCCACTGATAGTGTGGAGAGAGGCGGTGCACTGAGGCAGCCTCTTGCCTATTTCACCAAGCATGGGCATTGGATGAAGTTGGCATTCCAGCAGTCATCAGTGATTTATATTCTCCCTCTCCTTGCCTACCTCAGTCCCCAGATTATGACTTCATTGAGGATGATAACAAGGGCTTTATTTTTTTCTGTTTCTGGATTAGCCAGTTCACAATAGGCAAACAATGTTTTTCATTGCATAGATTATTGAATGAATAAATAGCTTTCTGTCACGACTCTGCTTCTCATGGGGCAACCCTTCAAAACACACCTTGTTTATTTTCTTCCAAGCTAAGCCGAGAACCTATAAGGACAAGATTGCTTTATTGATCTTGTTTTTCTTCATTTACTATCTATTCATTTTTACCACCAGGTTTATCCTTTACTAGAAACTAAGGAGCCAGATCAAAACAGGTTCCTACTATTATAATTGAGGTCAAAGAGCTTGTGCCTTACAAGATCCTCAGTACAGAGGGTTCAATGTGGCATCTAATTGAATTGCTGTGTTGCTCAAATCCAAATGAAATCTTTCAAAGTTGACTTGACCATTGAAGAACAATTAGAAATGTCAAAATCCACCTGACATAATTTTTCATTACATACCTTTAAAATACAATACAGACAAAATCTAAAGAAAGCAATTTTTAAAATAAGATTTTAATCTTAGAATGTTTTTTGATTTATAGGAAAATTGCAAAGATAATGCAGAGAGCTCAATTGTACCCTTCACCCAGTTTCCCCTAATGCTAACATCTTGTTTTACTGTGGTAGGTATATCACAGCTAAGAAAACAACATTGGTACAATATTGTTTACTGAACTCCAGACTTTATTCAGATTTCACTAGTTTTCCCTTAATGTCCATTTTCTGTTCCAGGATCCTCTCAAGGATTCCACATTACATTTATTCATCATGCCTCCTTTGTCATCTCCACTGTGTGACAATTACTTCATCATTCTTGGTTTGCGTGTCCTTCCATTTTTGAGGAGTATTTTGTAGAATGTCCTTAAATATGGATGTGTCTAATATTTTTTCACGGTTTGACTGGGATGTGGGGCTTTTGTGAGAAAGATCACAGAGGCAAATTCACATCACATCATATCAAGGCTACGGGCTATTCCTGTGATGTAGATATGAAGATGTTAATCTTAATCACCTGAACAGGGTTCTCCATTGTAAAGTCACCTGCCCTCCCTGCTCTCCCTACTCTATACATTGGAAACAAGTCATTACATGTATCCCACATTCAAAAGTGGTTGGCAGTTTAAGCTCCACTGCCTGGAGATGGGGGAAGCCACATAAACTATTTGAAATTTTCGTCTCCACCTTTGCTTATGTATTCATTCAATCATTTATTTATGTCAGCATGGACTTGGACTTGGGATATTTCTTTTATGCTTTGCCTTATCACCCAATACTATCCTTGTTTATTTTGTTCTCATTGCTCCAGCTTTGGCCATTAGAAGGTCTTTCAAGTTGCCTCTGACATGCCTCCATCCTTCTATTCTCTGAGTACTTCCTTAAATCCTGGCACTGTAAGATGCTCCTAATTTACCTTGTCTATCCCACGCCCCCAGCTCTAAAAGTAGCCATTTCTTCAAAGAATCCTGGTTCTTTTTATTGGACATTGGAGTTAGAGCCGATCATCTGAGCACTGGGTAACAGTTGTCTTTTTAAGAGCACAATTATTGAAGTTCCAGCTACCACTGAAATATCACTACACCACTGCATGTCTGGTATTTAGCTGAGGGAAGAGTTTTGTTTCATGTATTAGATATATTCACTAGGGTTTTCTGTTGTGTATTATTTTCTTTAAGTTCTGGTTGCTGTTTTATTTTTTTTTGGGGGGGGAGGGTAGGATTCCTATAAGATGTACAGACCAGTGGATTACACTGGGAATTGTTTTGACAGCAAGAAACAGATGGTTTCAAAAAGAACTTATCCCTGGATTAATCTTCTCCCAGCTGAGTTGCACCATGAGTGTTATGTTTTACAGAGCTCACTGAGTTGAAAAGGCCCGGTACACAGGTGTAGGTATAATCATTTGGTGAGTTCATCATTTTGGAGTTTGGTCTCCTTATTTTCATGCTGTTTTATTAGCACACTGAGAACTGACATACCTTTCAGGAGCAGGCTTATGTTATTCAAGCTTGTGGAAACTGACACATCTCCATAACTCTGATTGACTAATTTACAGTAATAAATGCAATGGTAAGCAAATTAGAGTACTTGCGTCAATAGAATCTTTCCAATTAAATATGATGTTCAAGAAGCAAAATTACCATCAGAAGCCTGCCTGGTGAGCGTGGATCAAAACAAGGGGAGTTTTACAATTCCCGTGCTTCATGGCATATTGTCAAACCAGGCTGATGCACCTTCTTCATGATGAGGCCATGTCTGCCTCCACAAGTATGAAGTTCTGAATGGGCATAGCTGGCTTCTAGCTGTTTGGGTCTCTTGTTCTCTGGACTGACAATCCCCCCTACTCTGCTCTGACAAATACTACTATAAACACAGTACAATACAAGTGGGTAATATTCTAAATTCAAAAATTCCAATTCTATTCCAGTTATATATTTTCTGAAAATAACTGCCTGATGTTGACTCAAGATTCTGGTGTTTACAAAATCTTAAAATGTCTTTAGTCATACTTCATAAAACCAAAAAAGAAAAAAATTAGAAAACAAAAGTTGGAGTTTACTTCTATAAAAGGCTTATACACAGATATTGCATATGGATCTTACTAGTTTCATCCAGGCAGAGCAAATTTTTCCTTTATCCCTAATTCTATACTCCTATAAAAGGCTGATACACAGATATTGCATATGGATCTTATTAGTTTAATCTAGACAGAGCAAATTTTTTCTTTATCCCTAATTCCATCCTCCCTCCTGCCCCGGTACCCATCTCCCATGGGAGAGGCACTTTTCTGTTGCCCCCATGTAATTGTGTGACCTTGGATATATTATTTAACTTTTATTTAATATAATCCTATGTTTCCTTATCTGTGAAATGAGGAAAAGTAATTCTCCTTTAGAAGTTTGATATATGGATGAAATCAGATAAAATATATCAATGTCTTTAAAAATTCACTGGTGAATAGTAGGCATTCGATAAGGACTAGCTGCAGTCAGTGGCTTACAGTCCCCAAACAGCCGCTTAAAGCTGCACTCAACATCTCAGATGCTGTGGCAGCACTCTTCCTCTGACTCGGTGTTGCCCTGTTCAAGTGGCTTGGATAAACCAGCATTCATCTGGTGAAGAAACAGTGATGGCAGGCTGAAATATTCAAGTGGAAGGCTGAATCCTCTGCATCATCACTGCAGCAGTTAACTGCTGAGCTTTTTATTTTTTGAAATGTAGAACTGTTGAAAACCAAGAGCAGTTTTTCATGAGCATTTATTCTTACTCATAAGTGTCTAGCAGGGATTGCCAAGTGTGATTACATTCATTAAGATATTTTTGTGTTAGAAGAAAACCTTCGTATTCATAAATTAATAAATACTTGTTCATATTATCACTTTAACCTGATCACTTTAATTTTACAAATGGGCTTTTTTTCTGAGGTAGCTTTATTTGGAAGCTGAATGACTAGCCTACAAAACAACAGGGATTAGAGTTGAGAATGGTCTTCCTGATTGCTGTGTCATAAATACAAGACTGTAATTAGGACAGCCTTGACAGAATGTCATCCACTTGGATTACTGTGCACATGATAATCTGTCACTCTGGTACTCTCGAGACCCAAGAAAAAGGCTGTTGTGCAGCATGTTAACATGTGTTTGTGAAGAGTTGTTCATTGAAGGTTATGCCTGACATCTTCTTGTCTCTTGAGTCTTTTGGTAGATTTCTAATTTCATCTATTTCATTAGCCAGATATTGGTTGTTAGAATGATTAGTGCTCCAGGAGGACCCACCCAAGTGCTGTCACCAGGGTCTGCTCCCTGTGGAGTGGAAAGTATCTCAGAGGCTTATTGTCTCCTAAAGCCAGGGATCGTAGGGGCACACAGCTGTGTCCGACAATTAAAAATCACTCATGCTTGGTTGTCAGGGGGCACAATTGTCAGAATCTGTCCATCCCCTTGCCAAGGTTGATTTTGTCAAAGCTGACCCCAATCTTTTATTCTAATCACACTTTCTACTTTGTTGAGCTATTTGGATAGCAGCTCTGCCTTTTAACCTTATCCACTCCACTTTGGGCTTCTGAAATTTAACTTTGTCATTCTACTTATAAATTTTCCTTGTCAATGTCCCCTGGTTTTTACCTTGTTACCTTGGAAAACGGTGTCAGGACCCATGATCTTGGTTGTTCCAGCCACTCTTCCATATGGTAGAGTCTCATACCAGCACTGGAAAAATGATGTTTCACACATTGTACATGATAGAGGGGATGAGGACGTGGTTCTTGCATTTGAAGGATTGTGAAGTCTTCTTTCTTAACAGATCAGAGAAAAATAGAAGCTACATTACTAGCAAATTTATTTTTACATCCTTTTCTTGAAAAATGACACATCGGTAAACACAGTAATCTAGTTTATTACTTTATTTAAACAAAGACCTTCTGTTTGATTTTTTTTACTTCTTCTATTTTCCAAACTCACATAAGCAAATTCCAAAATGCTTGAAGATAATAATCATTCTGATTTCAATTTTGATAATTTTAAAACGTTAAAATTGAAATGTAGAAAATGCTTATTTTTAAATTAATAAAATATAATTACAAGATCCCTCTTATAAAATTGCCAAAGTGTCACAAGAGTTTACGCATGTAAAGCGCTTTACTCAGTGCCTGGAACATGAAATGTGCAATTAAAAAGCTGTTATTATTAGCATTGGATTTCATACTTACAAAATAAATAGTTTGTACCACATGACCTACAATGTCCTTAACAATTTTAAAATCTTGAATCTGAATTTTACTCCCAACAGAATTTCTGGTGTATCTATGACATTGCTTACTAATTACCCCAAAAATATTGAATGTGTAAGCTCTGGACAGCATAAACATATTATATACACATATGTAATAACAAAAACTGAGAAAATAAGAGTGTTAGGTGATAATAGTTGCAAGAAAAGCAGGGAAAGGGGATGATGAAGGGGAAAGCCAGAGTGTGGTCCTATTTTAGAAAAGGTAAGTGTGGATAGACCTCTCTGGTAAGGCAAGGTATGCACAGGTATTTGATTGACATCAGAGTGGAAGCCCTGTGGCTATCCGAGGGAAGAGGGTTCTTGCTTCATTTCTGAGAAGGGATATACCCAAAACATATTATGGCCCTTAAAGTCAAGTGAGCTGTTGCTTAGCATTCAATTCAATACAAAAGTTACCTCTTTGCTTTCAGAACAAAAGGGAAACCAGCAAACTATCCATAAACCATCTGTGACACATGGACTGATCCATGCCCAAGAGGATTCATTTTCCAAACAAGAATCCTGGGATAGCTGTGTTGACTGGATAGATATTCGACTTGGTGAGAAAGTTGTCTCTCAGATCACTAGCTTAGACTGTTAGATGTTAACAATAGAATTTTATTACCAGATAAATTTTAGCATATCTGATTGATATAAACTATATCTCTATGAGGCTATAATAATCAAATGTATGTGAAATATCTGGTCTCATTGATGTTTTATTAATCTCATTTCCTCATTACTTGTTTCACTGAAGCCAGGTAGCCAGAAGACTCGTTAAAAAAAATGTTATATTTATTATTTGACTAGGATAGTGCAATGGAAAGTGCTCAAGAACAATTGATTTATTAATATGCTGATTCGTTAATTCCTTCAATATGTATGAATTAAGTGAGGGGCATCGTGCTAAGGGTAGGTCATTTGAATCCCAGTACAAACACTGTTATAAATGACCTACATTATCTGAAGAAAACAACAGCCTCTCTCTGAGTCTCAGTTTTCTCACAAGTTCAATGATATGTACTGAGCCCATATTGTATGCCAGGCCCCGTGCCTTGTACTAGGGACACAGAGATGGACACGACAGCATTACGGGGGAGACAGATATGCAAACCATTAAAGCATGGAATGGTGCATGCATGTCACAAATATATCCAAGGTAAAGGAAAAACAGAAATGAGGTAGTGGTTAATCTATCAGGGGAAATGGAGTTAGGAAAAGCTTTGCTGAACAGATGTTTAAGAATGGACAAGAGTCAAGCAAAAAAAAGAAACAAAAAGAAAAAACAATGAGAGAAAGTCATTTCCTACAGCTTATCAAGTTTAAGATTTCATGATTTTAGCAAAATGCCTGTTGAACTTTTGGAAAAAGGCATAAAGGCATGGGATTAGATGTTAATAATGTCATTAAACCATTAAAAGTAATATTCAGATGCTTTAAAAATATTGAAAGCTTTATAAATAAAAGTCCTCATCACAGAGATATTTTAAAATTTCATTTGGGATTTTTTGGACTTTTTTATACATTTCCAATTAGGAATGTCTCAGCCTGAAATGTAGACCTCCCTTTACCATAAAGTTGTCCAACTGCTGATAAACCATTTGGCTAATAAGTTTAGAATAATGACTTGATTTTATCATATATGTCCATAAGCTGTTAAGATATAAAAGTTTTGGATCAGTATGTGTAAGTTCACTTAAAATATATATATTTCTGTTTCTCTCACTATGCAGAATTTTATGAAATACAGAATATCTGCATTATTTATTTTTGACTGCAATGTTAGGGGATGGCTTATTCCCTCAATGATTGCTGCTATGGTTATTCGAGAAACTATAGAATTCATTAAAAAAAATAAATCTACCTTAACTATATCCCCAATGCCTATGAAGTTATCAGCTAAGGCATTTGGATTGTACAAAGATTTCAACAAAAGATGACCCAACACTTTATCTTACCTTACATCCCTTGGGATGAGACCTTGTTTAGTGCTAAGACTATTCAATCAAATGGATTTTTTGCTGGCTGAACTCACAGGCACTTACACACATCAACAGAAGAATCTTTGCCTTATCCAGTGACTATATCAAATAGCTATTGTTAGGATGTAAAGGTCTCAGTCAATCAGGACTTGAGAATCTCAAAAAATTTGATTTCTCTTTAAGAGACCTTTAGAACAGACGAGAACACAGAGCCATCCTTGTTTAATAACAGATGAAGGGAGCTATGAGACTGATGGGACCTTTACTTCAATTAAATATGAGAGGAAGAATAGGGAAAGATCTCAGAATAATCGAATTTTATGTATGAAGGATACTTAGGTAATAGGTAAGTAAATTCCTCCCACCTATGAGGAAACTGAAATGCAGAAAGATGAAGGGACTTGCAAAGGCCATGCAGCCAGTTTTTCTATAAATGAGCCAGGAAGAGTAGGACTCAATTTCAGACTTTTGACATTAGTTCATATAAATTAGTTTATACAAATACACACAGAACTACAGTGATAACATTGAAATCTATCCATCCCATAAATTTAAATATGCTGTAATTGCCATCATCTAGTTTCCTCCATAATTTAAATAGATACCCTCATTTTCCAATATCTACTCCTGCAAATTTCTAATTATACATTTTAATCATTATTTTGGTTACTATTCACTTGGGATTAAACCTAATAATGTTGTCTAAAGGGAGACAAGTTTTGGAGGAAGAATACACAGAAACAATAAGAGAAAACATAGTCATAAGTAAAGTGGAACCAAAACGTCTTTGCAGCTGTAGAAAAATCCAAGGTCAATCAATACTACAATAGAGTTGAAAGGAAAACAGGACAGGCACAGTGATACATAATTCACTAATATATGAGAGCTCTGAATGATCTTTCATGGGTATTTGCTTAGAGTGGCAAGGGTGGCTGTTTTCATGGATGCTCACCTGGTTTAAGATGGGGGTCAATTGGCCACTGGGGATATTAGATATGTGTTCCCCAAGGCCCCTCTGCTGTTACTGATGTGGATCCTGAAGAAGCAGTGGGAGTAGGAGGTTGGTAGTAGAAACAGCAATTCAAAACTCCCTTTCCTTATTCTGAATAGAGAATATTTTTATTAGTTCTCGTAGCGTAATTGTAGGCCTCAGACATTCTTTTATTTTTGGTGGGCGAACAGAGTCTCACTCACTCTATTGCCCAGGCTGGAGTGCAGTGGCGTGATCTCGGCTCACTGCAACCTCCGCCTCCTGGGTTCAAGTGATTCTTCTGCCTCAGCCTCCTGAGTAGCTGGGATTACAGGCGAGTGCCAACATGCTTGACTAATTTTTCTATTTTTAGTGGAGATAGGGTTTCACCATGTTGGGCAGGCTTGTCTCGAACTCATGACCTGAAGTGGTCTGCCCGCCTCAGCCTCCCAAAGTGCTGGGATTACAGGCGTGAGCCACTGTGCCTTGCCTCAGACATTCTTTACAGATCCCTGTGAAAACACTGTAATAGTGTTGGGTTTGTTTCTTAACCTAAGAGAAAGAAAATATGGTTAACAGTTACAATTTTGTGCCAAAAAACCCTTCAAAATCAAATTGATGATAAAATGATGAGTTTATTACTTAACCAAATCAATAGGACTATTAAATATGCTGCTTAATTATGAATCAGAAGAGATAGTTACTTTTGCTGCTGCTCACTCATAATGTAGGAAATTTAGGTCACCTATTGAAAGGCTTATGGCTAACTATAGAAAAACTGAAATAGATCACCAATAGTTTTCCATGCTGCAACTTCTTTCTAAAGTATAGATGCCCATCTGTTAAAAATGATTTGGCTTTTAAGTATATACTGCCTCTTTTAACTTTTTTAAATCCTTTTTTTTTGGCTTTTTAAAATTATGTGAACGATATAACCTCACTGTGTAGAATTTGAAAAATAAAAATAATATTTAAAATCACTAATTTTTTTATCACTCAGAAATTTTTATTACTATTAATATAATTCCCATGAATATTTTGATGAATTTCCCTTTGTTATTTTTAATATGCGTATCTGTTTATAGATATAGTACATACACCAAAACCTTGGCATTATATTCTGCTTGCCTAACTTTAAATTGTATTCTTTTAGTTGGGCCTCTCCTATGAAATTAAGCTTTCTTCAAAAGTGGAATTTTGATTTGGGTGATTTTTTCTTCCCTTTGGTTCCCTGATTTTGAGGTATTAATTATTTTCATTATTATATTCTCATATAAATAAGAATAGCCAAGACTGATGGTCATAAGTACATATGGTACTGTAAAGATGAAATCATAATTTTATTTCAGTTAGTATAATAGCTGACCTGACTAGTCCTACCTTACTTCATTCATATCCCAATTAATGGTGGTAAGAGTCTTGCTTCACATGTCCCTCAAAATATTCACCACTGCTATTCAACATAGTGTTGGAAGTTCTGGCCAGGGCAATCAGGCAAGGGAAAGAAATAAAGGGTATTCAAATAGGAAGAGAGGAAGTCAAATTATCTCCGTTTGCAGATGACATGATTGTATATTTAGAAAACCTCATCATCTCAGCCCAGAAACTCCTTAAGCTAATAAGCAACTTCAGCAAAGTCTCAGGATACAAAATCAATGTGTAAAAATCACAAGGATTCCTATACACCAATAATAGACAAGCAGAGAGCCACATCATGAGTGAACTCCCATTTACAATTGCTGCAAAGAGAATAATATACTAAGGAATACAACTTACAAGGGACATGAAGGACCTCTTCAAGGAGAACTACAAACTACTGCTCAGGGAAATAAGAGAGGACACAAACAAATGGAAAAGCATTCCATGCTCATGGATAGGAAGAATTAATATCATGAAAATGGCCATACTGTCCAAAGTAATTTATAGATTCAATATTATGCCCATCAAGCTACCATTGACTTTCTTCACAGAATTAGAAAAAGCTACTTTAAATTTCATATGGAACCAAAAAAGAGCCCATATAGCCAAGACAATACTAAGCAAAATCAACAAAACTAGAGGCATCATGCTACCTGACTTCAAACTATACTACAAGGCTACGGTAACCAACACAGCATGGTCCTGGTACCAAAACAGATATATAGACCAATGAAACGGAAAAGAGACCTCAAAAATAACACCACATATCTACAGCCATCTGATTTTTGACAAACCTGACAAAAACAAGCAATGGGAAAGGATTCCCTGTTTAATAAGTGGTGCTGGGAAAACTGGCTTAGCCATATGCAGAAAACTGAAACTGGATCCCTTCCTTACACCTTATACAAAAATTAAGTCAAGATGAATTAAAGACTTAACTGTAAAACCTAAAACCATGAAAAACCTAAAAGAAAACCTAGGCAATACCCCTCAGGACATAGGCAGGGGCAAAGACTTCATGAGTAAAACACCAAAAGCAATTGCGACAAAAGCCAAAATTGACAAATAGGATCCAATTAAACTAAAGAGCTTTTGCACAGCAAACAAAACTATCGCCAGAGTGAACAGGCAACCTACAGAATAGGAGAAAATTTTTACAATCTATCCATCTGACAAAGGTTTAATATCCAGAATCTATAAGGAACTTAAACAAATTTACAAGAAAAAAGCAACCCCATCAAAAAGTGGGCAAAGGATATGAACAAGTGCTTCTCAAAAGAAAACATTTATGCAGCCAACAAACATATGAAAGAAAGCTCATCATCACTGGCCATTAGAGAAATGCAAATCAAAACCACAATGAGATACCATCTCACGCCAGTTAGAATGTCAGTCATTAAAAAGTCAGGAAACAACAGATGCTGGTGAGGATGTGGAGAAATAGGAACGCTTTTATGCTGTTGATGGGAGTGTAAATTAGTTCAACCATTGTGGAAGATGTGTGGCAATTCCTCAAGGATCTAGAACCAGAAATACCATTTGACCCAGCAATCTCATTGTTGGGTATATACCCAAGGGATTATAAATCATTCTACTGTAAAGACACATGCACACATATGTTTACTGCAGCACTATTCACAATTGCAAAGACTTGGAACCAACTCAAATGCCCATCAATGATAGACTGGATAAAGAAAATATGGCACATATATACCATAGAATACTATGCAGCCATAAAAAAAGAATGAGTTCAGCCAGGCACAGTGGCTCATGCCTGTAATCCCAGCACTTTGGGAAGCCAAGGCAGGTGGATCATGAGGTCAAAAGTTTGAGACCAGCCTGGTCAACATGATGAAACCCAATCTCTACTAAAAATACAAAAAATTAGCCAAGCGTGGTGGCGCACACCTGTA